>NC_000009.12:31828181-31979696 GCF_000001405.40 Homo sapiens
GAAACCCTGAGGAACTTCTGCAAAAATGATATCACGATGGGCCTAAACACAGAACTAATTGACCAATGAGAGGCAAAATGAATATTAAGAAAGACATGAGATAATTTACCAATCAGAAAATAATAATACCAAGCACCATACTGTGCAAGTTTCTTATAGAAACAAACAGGATATGAATTTTTAGGGAAATAATTTTTTAAAATCATGGATGGCACATGAATGTGGGGCCTTTGGTCAAAGCCTAGGATCTCTGTGTGGAAGGAAGGGAGGACAAACTACAGGCAAGCTGTGGTATCTCCACTGAGAAGCCTTTTAAAAAGTAGATAGATGTTTTGTCAGTTTTATGTCCTAGGAATGTCTTTCTGAAATACCTGGGAGCTATCCCTTTGAAATGTCAGCAACAAGAGAGAGAGAACAACCCTATTTCCCAGTTTCTGTGGGAGGGTAGAAGTCTAACTTCAGTAGGCACCTTATTCAAAGTTGCAAAAATACCTCCTGTCATAAAGATATGAGAAGTTTGTTTTTTTCCTCTGGATGAAGCCAATTAACTAACATAGATTGTTGTTCCAATTGCCATGATAAAGTTATGATGAACAATGTGTGACAAAAGGTGCTGCCCAGTCCTCTTACTTGAGGATTATTGTTTATCTTGAAAATAGGTATGCAATGAGTTGTATCTGCTTGGTCGTTTAAAAGGGAGAGATTCCTTTCTATTTTTGCAATCTTTTAGCACATTGCCTGTGATGGACATCACATTGGTTTAATGCCTATTCAGTAATAAATATGTTTTTTCTCTACTACCTTGGTGGGAGGAATATTGGGTGGAAAGAATGTTTTGTTTTTAATTGTATTTCCCCAACACTCTATACACACAATCAGGCCATTATACTGAGCTCTTCATTTCCAGTCTATTTCCCAAACCCAATTCATCCTCCACACTGCAGCCAGAGTGAGCTTTCTATAAGATGGCTTTAGCAATGGCATTCCCTCCTAAAACTCTTTACTGACTTATCACCAGCTCTGAGAAAACAGCTATATTTAATGAGCTTTTCTGTGTCTCAGGTACTACAATAAAGGCCTACATGTATTAGCTCACTTAATTCTCACAGCAATCCTGGGAAGTAAGTACTATTTTTACACACAAGTGGATATAAAAACGGCCCTAGTTCCTACAGATGACATGGGTTTTAGTTAGGCCTGGAAGCCAGGTAGCATGTATCCAAAATACCTCTAGATTAGACTGCTCAAACTCTGGCCTCTCATTACCTTTTTGTTCTATACTTCATAAATGTTGAAGTGTCTATAGTTTACTTAACCTCTCTGTTCTTTTTTTTTCAGAGTATAGACCTCTCCAATTTTAGAACTATATAAATAAGTGACACAAAAGGTAGGATTTGGAAAATATACTGACACATACAAAATTACAGTACGTTACTTAGAATACACAGGATAAGTGCAATATTTTAAGAGATGTACAATAAGAAACAAAGAACTATTTAGTAGCACCTGTTATCATTCAATAAAATTCAAGAAGAATCATTCTAAAATTTATCTGTGAGAATATATAACAATAGCTGATTTTTTAAGAAAAAAATTGAGATAACTTACCCTACTAGATAGTATAATAAAATGTGTGTTAAGTTGCAGTGATTAAAACACTGTGATATAGTGAATGAAAAGAAGGATTTATAAAATCACATAGAGCCTGAAATTACCTTACATATATTTGAGATTAGGATATAGATAGTTTTAACTAAAAAGCTTTCTGCATAGTAAAATAAATAATTAACTGAATGAACAGAAACTGAATGAACAGAAATTCTCCTATAGAACGGGAGAAAATATTTGCAAACTATGCATGTGACAGGGAATTAATATCCAAAATTTGTAAGGAACTAAACAACAACAAAAAAGACAAATAATCCCATTAAAAAGTGGGCAAGGAACATGAATAGACATTTTTCAAAAGAAGACATGAAAATGGTTAGCAGAAATATGAAAAAATGCTCAACATCACTATTCATCAGAGAACTGCAAATTAAAACCACAATGAGACATCATCTTACACAAGTCAGAATGTCTATTATTAAAAGGAAAAAATTTAACAGATATTGTCAAAGATGTGGAGAAAAGGGAACTCTTATACACTGTTGGTGGGAATATAAATTAGTACAACCTCTACGGTAAACAGTATGGAGATTTCTCATAGAACTCAAGACAGAACTACCACTCAATCCAGCAGTCCTACTGCTGAGTATCTACCCAGGGGAAAATAAGTCATTATATCAAAAAGATACCTGTACCTGTATGTTTATCACATCATTATTCACAATAGCACAGAGATAAAACCAACCGAAGTGTCCATCAATGCATAACTGGATAAAGAAAATGTGGCATATATATACTAAAGCACAAAAAAAATGAAATAATACCTTTTGCAGCAACATGAATGGAACTAGAGGCCATTCTCTTAAGTGAAAAAAATGAGACACAGAAAGACAAATACCACGTGTTCTCGTCTGTAAGTGGGAGATAAATAATGTGTACACATAGATGTAGTGTATGGAATGATAGACAATGGAGACTTGGAAGGGTAAGGTGGTGGGAGGAGTTGGATGATGAGAGATTACTTAATGGTTACAATGTACATTATTTGGGTAATGAGTAACCTAAAAGGCCTGACTTCACTACTATTCAATGTATGTGTTTAACAAAATTACACTTGTACCCCATACATTTATACAAATAAATAAGTAAATGTGGAAGGAATCGACTTTTTTGGTTCAGCACCACTTTATCAAACAGCCTCTATTTTGTCTACTAATCATAATAGGCATTTTTTTCATAATCCCTGTAAGCACTAAGACATGGTACGAAATGATGGACAAAGATCAGATCATTCTCTGGAGAAGTGATTCTTTGCTCATTTTCAATCTAGACTCTGAGCACCCAATTCCTTTTCTCACAATTAATTTCTGAGGCAAAGTAGCATTTTTATAAGGGTTTTTATAATGAAAAACTGGTGAAAGATTAGTAATAGCAAATGGAAGAGGCATTGTTTTATTAAGAAAATCCTGTCTCTCTGTATCTCTTTGCTTTCAGAAATGTTTTTAAATCAAAGCACAGAGCACATACATCTAAGGGGATTGAGATATTCTTTGAGGAAAGAAGAAACCTTAAAATTTAGAATAATCAACTAAATTTTAAGATTACATCATTAAATTTAAAGTTGAAATTTACTGCACTTCTATCTCACAGTCCAGAGGTTCCCAAACTTTCTCAGTTCATAACATTCTTAGTATCTCAGTATTTCTTTTCATGACATTCTCGGTTTTTTATTAAATAATTAGTTTCCAACTACTTAATAAATATCTATATCTTAACAAATTTGTAACTATTTGAAAAGCTAATACACATATATTTTAAAAATGTTTTATTTCATCCTTAATAATCATAACAACATACTGATGGAAGGTGTGTACCTGCTAGTCACTGTAAATTTTTCAAATTGGATTCCATCACACCCTTCCTCATTTCCTCTTCCATGTTAGTTTCTGTATGATACTTGCTTTTTCCTCCCTATGCACCTAAAACACTACCTGACATAAAGAAAATGCCCAACAAATGGATCAACAGAAGCATTGGAGGTGGAGAGAGCTGAGTTTCCCCCCTGGCTTCACTATAAACCAACTAAATAACTTTGGACTTAGCTTCTGTGAGTCTCAGCTTTTATTTTGTTTAAACAGAGATGGTAAAAGTGAATGACTATCTGGATTATTTTAATGATTTAATGAGCAACTAAAATGCTCAGCACAGTGTCTGACATGTTTTACTGCTTTTAAGTGATACTTTTTAATACTATCACTACCACTCCAGAGTTTTGCTTTCACAGTTATTAAGTTTTCTAGAAAGCAGATTTTAAAATCTGACAACCATAAATACCTATCGTCAAAATACCAAAAGGAAATAGAGGATTATAATTATATTTAAGGGATTCCTCAAAGTTCTGTTACAGATAAGAATTCAGAGGGGTTATAGAAATAGCACAGAAAATTTGGCTCAAATCATACTTTTGCTTCTCATCAGCTTTGCTGCTACTTAGAATTGCGAACCCTCAGCTTCTCTTTCTGTTAAGTAGAAGAAAATAATACTGCTCAGAGCAATGATATTAAGAAAACTGGAATAAATATTCTCCTTTATCTCCATGAGGAGAAGAGGCTGCGAATTCCTGCCTGGTAAAATTTTGGGTCCCAAGGCTGGCAATTGAGTGGTCTCTCAACACCATACTTTATAGTGTGTGGATAAAATTGCTTAAGTTAGTATCCAAAGGTGTTTCCTATTTAGTCTTGACATACACTATCTAAAACTTGGCTACATTGTTAATCAGAGTTTGGTCTGGAAAATTAAAACCATTCTAAGTATTTTACCCAGAAAAGTTTTGAATACCAAGTGTCAGAGGCTCACAAAGCAATTGGAAGAGCTGTTGGATGTTGAAGAGTAAAAGTCAGGACAGCCTCTGCTAGCTTTCAGTTAGCTGAAAGCACAGGAATTGCAGGGAACCACCACTGCTGAATCATGTGTGGACATCCCCAAACTATTGTCAAGACCACACGATTGCTGCTTTCTAGAGCCCATGTGCCTGCTGACCACTGCTGGGGAAATAATTGCTTCTTCTCTCCAACCTTCTAAACATCATGTGAGAACCTCTCATTGATTCCTACATAAACCAGAAATCTGCAAGCAAGGAAGCATAGGAAAAGTAGTTTCCAGGCTTCTAGCCTCTGAAATATGAGAGAGAATGTAGAAGGGAGCAGAAATGCTAATGAAAAGCCCAAATCAAAGACTAACACAAAATACAAAAAAAAAAAAAAAATCATGGAAACAAAATGACTCACAGGGCAAGGAAGAAAGGGTAGGACAAGAGCATTAAAATATAAGACAAGAGAATTAAATAAAGGAACCCAAGGCAGAACTACGGTGAAGGACAAAGCTAAGACTAAGCCTCCAGGATATTTTCTGTGCTGATCAGCAAACTCCTTTTCCCTTTTGGGGACACACAGAGACAGCCAAAGTGGCGTCTTGATACACAGTGCAGTTAAGTGAGGGGCTTTCCAGATAATATGTACAGCCACCTTCCTTAGTCAGCCTGCCCAGTATTTCACATCTCCAAGGCAGCCCCTGGGTTAACCTGGATCTTACTGTGACCATGCTGCTGAGATCAGAGCACCCTGGGGAAAGGCAGCAAGCATTGTAGCTAAAAGGGATTCCACTGTGAACACTCATCAAATAGGGCCACTCTGCTAGTCCCTGGTATGTAAATATTACAGTGAAATAAAGGAACAAAACTATAAGTTTCCTCCATTTATCCATATCCACAGTGGCAAAGTTTCCCTAAAATCTGAGTTAAATTCCATTTTATAGCATTGAAATGCCTCTTAACTATCACCATATATTTAAGGATCTTTTCCTTTTTTTCAAGAAAGCAATAAATGGTAATGTCTTTTCTTCTTGAGAAAAACACACCAAGATTTGTATATACCTGTTTTCAGAAAGATAAATTTCCTGTTGCTGTAGCAAAAGGAATATATGTTTGCAAAGTTCCTTGGAGACCCTTAGTTCAAACTCCTGCCAGCTTACTTTCCAATGCCAACCTCAAAAAAGGGAACCACTTATTGATCTCGACTTGTTTCTTTCCTCAGGAATAATAAAACCAGTCAGAAAACGGTTTACTTAGAATTATCCTGTGGTAGACAATTTTGTCTCTGGGTTTTCACCCACAAAAGCAGGAAATGAGCAAACTCATTTTCCCTTTTGGGAATGAAGGAAAACCTGCTAGCACTTTTGGAAGAATTCACCTCACATGCAGTGAGCTAAAACAAATGTGATGATACCTGAGTGTTGTGTGATGCTATTGCAAATAGAGAATAAAAGGCAACAGAATAATTCCTTGAATGGCTCCTAGACTTGATGCACTAAAATTTCTGTCTCATTGCTTATCCCAAAAGAATCTGGCCTAGTCAAGGCAAGGGACTTACTTACCCCTGCCTTTAGCAAACTCCTAATGAGTCTTCTAAGAGTGAAAGTTCTCTATCCGATCTCTCAGCTGGAAATATGTGCCTTACCAAGCTGCTGTTAAGGGAACAGAAAAATGATCAACATAAATTGCACCAGGAGATGGTAAAACACAAATGTTTTAGCAATGGGGGCTATTTAATGGGCTTCAGCTGTTCCAGCTCTACTCATTGTCATGAACTGAGGGTATAGGTACCATGGGATCCTTTAATATTCATTGCCAGTCACTGTTACAAGTTTCTAATATTTTAAACAAGGCTATAAATGTTGTTAGTGTTATTATTTTCATCTCACAGTTGTGACAACTGAGGAACGAGGCAGCTAAGTGCCTTGCCTACACAGATACTAAGTGAGCAAATTGGGATTAACACCCAAGCACTCTGACTCCAGAGGCCATGCTGGGAAGCCTTGGGGCACTTGCCCAAGCTGTTAAAGCAGCATGTGCCCACCCACAAACTTAAGGCAGGTGCTATACATCATTGCCAAAAGCAAGTTCCCCACCTCCTATCCTTGGTACTTGGTAGCAGCTGATGTCAGGCCATCAATGATGATTTGCTTTCTAAAATGAACTCCAGAAGACTTCTGGTAAAACCTATCAATTCCTAAAGACTCGAGACCTGGGTCCACGTGTGTTCACTACCCAGATAACTCTTCTTTTTTAATGTACTCAATAAGTCTCGTGACCTATTTTATTACAAGTAAGATCAGAACATATTGTAGCAGAGAGGCCAGTGATGCTGCCAGACTGTAGGTAGTAGCATGGGCCATGTTCTACAGAGTGCTCTTTGGGGCAATCTAACCTGTTCTTTGCTGATGCCAAGAGGTCCAGGCAGTATTTAAAAATCAAGCTATCCAGCTGGACAGAGTGCAATGCTAAGGAGATCATATGTCTCAGTTCATCTGGGAAAGTCTTGGTTTCATCCTGCTTTCCCAGTGTAGTTATGAATAACACTCCCTTTCACTTTCAAGTCTTCCAGTGTGAACTGTGGATAGCTACATGGTGACTCTGGGCATCTTCCACCTCTTCATGCCTATAGCCAGGCAGGAGCCCCAAGAATCTGGCTTCTTTGAGAGAGATGAGCTATTGGTTTCATCTTTTAGATATCAGGGACTCAGGGGTCCCATGGATACTCACACCTAATCAGAGAGCCTGATGACATCAAGGAGTTCATCAATTGTGTGATGATTTTTCTTTTGTAAATTTTTTTCAGAGAGTTTCAGGTTAAGTATAAGCCATTCAGAATAATTTTTTGTGTATATATTTCTCCCATCACATATGCAAAGCTGCTTAAAAAATCACTATTGGTTACTTTCTTCTTCAGAAGTCTTCATTAGCATAACATGAAAAGGACATGCACATAGCCTGATTATATGTTCATATGAAAAGTCACTCAAGGAAATTAGGAACAGATTTTATTGACAGGGATAGATAATAATAACACCTGAGCCTCTCCCACAAGTCCTAGCGGCCACTGGTCAAATGTACCAATTGTTACTAGCAGTCATTTGACTTTCGACATTCATTTATTTCAGTATAGAAATCTTTGAAGGAAGATCTCCAAGCATGCCTTACTGACATTCTGAAAAGTGTTGCAGCTTAAACCATTATCTAATACCTTATTCATTTTTAGTTAGGTTAGTGGCAAAAATGATACACTAGATTAGAAGAAGTAGAAGGATGATAAAGGACAGGCCAGTTTAAGAAAGGCTTTATTGATAGACAAAAGTAGAAGAGACCAAATCTAAGCACTGTCTGTTTCAAAAATGTGATTAAGCTCATGTATGCCAGGCACAATCTCAGTCTCAGTCTACAAATTCTGTTACTGACTCCTGCACAATGTCAACCCCTCTCCTCACCTCCCAGCCTGCATCGGAAGTAACCTCTATATCCACATAGTGTCTAGCTCCTGCTCCACTGGTAATGTGGAGGAGGTGTTGAGCAGCTTTCCATCTGGATGCCCAACCAATGGAATTTACTCACTCAGACATTTAAAAAGCCCAAAGCATCGTTGACAAGCTTACATCACAAATCTTCTGATCTGTGGCTTTGGAAAATGAGTGTAGGTGTCAAACCCTGAAGAATTAATTAAACATGCATTTGATTTAATTTCTACAGCCTTCAGTTCTGAGACTAAGATAGACAAAAGCAATAGGCAACACTGAGTCTCACCAATATGTACCACTGGGGTAAGGTGCCTTCAGCTCTTACCCTGTCTATACATCCCCAGCACTGAGGCCATCAGTCCCCTGGGCTTCACTTACCTCTGCTTTACTCACCTCATTCCACCCTGCATTCTGTTAAATTCCCTGTGAAGCTCCTCCAAAGCAGCCCGAACTCTGGATGCTTTTGTTATGAGATGCTCCTTGAGGAGGAAGCCAGGACTTTGATTCTGGAAAAAAGAAAAAAAAATCTTCCATATACTGGAGTTGGTGCCCAGTATTTCCATTGCCTCAGCCAGACTTTATGGGACATTGCTTTTTCTTTTATCCTAAGACTTGAATTTTAAATCTGACTTGTGTAAAGATTTGTGTTTTTATCAAATGTTCTATCCCTTTTTGACCCGCACCAGAAATCATTTTCCACATTGTTACTGGAGAAGTTCATGGGTCTTCTTCCCTTAGGTTTAATGGTGAGTAATAATTGTGAGGCCCAGATGTTCTCCAGACTATTTTATTTCTGTAGCAACCAGGAAGAAATGCTTTCTGTTCAGGCTCTCTCACTCTCAACTCAGATATTCAGGACATAAAGCACAGTCAACACATCACTGTTGGTTCCTTTCTTCTAGAACAGCCCTCATGCATATCTTCTAGCTTTAAAGTGAGAAACTCCATTAAATTCCAGCCATTCTTGCTTAGTGTCCCCACTTCCTCTTATTCCCTAGGATGTGTAAAAGAATTAAATACCTCCAAACCTTGAGGCACGGAGTTTTTCTTTTCCAGTTTGAAACTGGCTTGTCCAGTATTTTTTCTTCACGTTGACTCTAAAAGGCTAAAAATCATAAGATAAAACTGCCCCTCAACTTCTAACAGGACTCAGGCCTTGGGGCTCCTCATCAGTTTCCCTGCTTTTCCAGGGACCAACATCGCTTTTGTACATCCAAAGCAAACAAAAATGTAAATGTTTTAATCCCATTTGAACAAGAAAATAGCTCTCTATATATAGAAAAGATTTATCATATGAATGTGCAATTAAAGACTAAGGGATTAACGTAAGCTTTCTTGAACATAATATGTAATTTGAGCTTGAGCCTTGAGGAAGAGGTGGTGTTTCACTCTATAGTAAGAAATAATTTTGCCTGTCATTTGTTTAAAATAAGAAAAAGAAGAAACAAATTAATGAACAATTTTCTTTAGTTTGTATGAATATATTAGAGTCTATTGTTTCTGAATATGAAGTATAGTGATTCTGAATATGGATTATATTGTTTCTACAGCAGCAGCTGTGACTGTCCTGCTTGTATTCAGACTTTGAAGAACAAGTGGCTATTGTAAGTATTGATTCTATGAAGCTGTAAAATTTATGAAACCCAAATATTAAAATTATGACAATAAACCTCGGTCTACCCTTGACCCTGTGCCCATTAACAATAAGATGGATGAACTGAAAACTAATGGAGGAAACCTGGGTCATTTACTTACCTACTACATGAGGAGACTTAATCCTAGGCGATTTGAACAGAAAATGCTCTTTGCAGCTCTTCTAGTCCAAATATAATAGCGAGATTTCATGTCACATTTTAACTCCTGGGGAAGGAAGAAGCAGAGGAAAAACATTCAGGAAAAAGTCATTTACTCAAAAAGATGTTTGCAAGGGAGCCAGATTTTTGAAAAATCGGTTCATCAAATAAAGACAGAACATATGTTTAAAGGAAAAACAAAACTGCAAAATTACCAGGTTATCAAATTTACAGTTAGTTTGTTTATGGTAGAAAAAGAACAATGTTCTCCCATTATTATCATATCCAAGAAGATCCTGACATGGTATCAATTGTCAGCATTATAAAAGTCAAGGGTGAAGGTGTTTGCATTAGGAAGTCAAAACTTAAGAAGTCAAAAACTCAGAGAACATCTGAGCTTTCCCTAATTTTGAGACTAGAATTAAACATAATGACTCGGTTATTTGGCTTGTGCTGAGGTGCAAACTTTGGTTTTTGTTTGGTTGGTTCCCTGGTCTTGAGATGTGATGTAAATTGTTACCTAATATGGAGGCCTGCCAAGAAGTCAATCTTGCTTTCACCCTCCAGACTATCAGTAACAGTTGTTCAAGCATGAAAGATTCTAAGATGCCTCAACTGGGATAAGTATATGTTGTAATATATGAACAGAATTTTCTCCCATGAACATGAAAAAAGTTGAGCAGGGTCATTTCTACCAGACATTTTGTTTTTTAACTTCTGCTCAATTTGAATGCCCTTCTTTTACATATAAGAAGGAGAGGAGTAACCTGGTAAAAATCATACATCAGATATTATAACTCTGACTTGAAACTAGGTGTTCTAATAAGTGGTCCAGCAAACACATGGTAGAGAGTGAGGAGGAAGGGGACACTTATAAATATTTGTAGAATAAGCAAATTCTCTTTTCATTTCACCAAGCTGAATGCACTACAAAAATTAAAATTGCCATATCACACTCTGGAGCTTATCCATTCAGAGTAATTTTACCTACTCTACTGTAATGATTTCTTTTCCATTGTGGAGAGAATTGATTTTTGTAAAATATCAAGTTGAATAATCCTTGTGTGCAATAGGATCATTGAGTGTTCGCTGTATGAAGGAACTCATGTGGTTTGCCAGAAATCTCTGTGTGACTCTGGCTAAGTAGTAAGTGGTAGAATGCATGAATTATGTGAAGTGAATGCTGTGTGCTCATTACATGATTCCACAGAAGCTTGCTATTTCTGCCTGACTTCTTATGTAAAGGGTCATTTTTTTAATTTCCAAAGTTTAGGTTTTTTATCTCAATTTGGTTTCTTGATAGTTTTTTTCCCCTGTAATGAATCATTAGTTTAGCCAAGAGTTTTTATCTAGTTTTGCTTTAGAGTGCACAGATTTTCCTGAAAATTCACTCGAATAACATGTTCCTTGCATCTTTTCCTCAGAGTTGAATTGCCTTTTTCAGTTTGAGTCTGGCAAACCTAGAGCTTCTTACTCAGCTCCAGTCCCACCTTTTAGCAGTGGAAAGGGGCCAGAATACATGTTTTGCAGACTCTTGCCAAATCAGCTGTTGATGTAGTTCACTTACTTTTCAGACCTCACCACAGATGGCAGCAAATCCTACAGCAAAAAATGTGTTGAGACCAGAGGGCCCACAATAACTGGCAATTTACTGTAGTGTACTCAAAATCAACTGTGAACCCTGAGCATCCTCTGCATGAGGTAATTCTATTTTTAAAATATTACTATGAGATTTAAGAACTATAATGCCTAACTCCTTTTGCACATTAATATTTAAACATTAAATAATAATTGCATTCAAAAGAAAGCCACTTCTAAGAAGTAAAACACACTGTTTTGAAAAGGGGTAAGAATCTCTTTGGAAGAATAATGAGAATGAACAGGAGTAAGAGAAAACTGTAGCCTGAAAGCTAGTTTCATTGACTCTGCATGAGACTAGAACACACTTAATGAATTTCTGTTTCTTTACAGACAGCTAATTAAAGTCCATTGACAGATTATATATATAGCATTATTATATATATATATATATATATATAGCATTCTTGATGTTGGAGTGAACATACAAAGAAAAAATTATAAAATGGACTTCAAGTCTACTATTTTTTCCTTTAAAAATGTATAAGAAATTAAGGTAGCATTTTTTTGCTTTGCTGATACCCATGTTATTTTAAAATGTAATAAAAAATTAAGAGAAGAGTTTTGCTGCACTCTTAGAAGACATACTCTTTTTTTCTAAATATGAAAATAGTGGTTTGTTCTATAAATTTCATTTCCATAAAAAAAATTTAATATTTATATGTGCATGTTTCACCAAAAAGTCCTGCATTTGTGAGGTCCTGGAAAAATATAAAAGAAATATCTTCTCTGAATCTTTATTCTAATTATAAAACCCACTGAAAAATGTATTGTTCATTGAGCTTTCCATTTATTATTAAAGTACATACTATATGTTAACTTATGTAAAAGATGACATTGTGAGAAAATGACTGTGACTCTCAACCTGTCCCCTATGATGACTGGAATGAACAAACAGATATTAAAATAAGAAAAATTATGTAGTTCATTATGATGAAAGCATTCTAAGAAGGTTATGTCAAAAGACTGAGGAGTAAATGCTGCCAAAACAGGCAACATTGTGGATTAATTTTACTCACAGAAAGTATTTTTAGTGATATGAAAAATGACTCTTTCTCAATTCACCAAGATTTTCACCATTGTGACTGGACATTCTCACCACAGAAACAACGTTGCAGAAAATTAAATCAGCAATATGACATATATTCTGGGAATGCAAAGAAAGATCAGAAAGAGGTAATAATAACCAAAATTAACACATTAGGTCTGAAGGCCAGAAATTGAAGCCCTATTTTATGGAGGCTCCATTTTTTTAAACGTGAAGTCGGAAAAAATGAAAGATAAAAATACTCCAAGATAAAAATAGCAGACAGAATTAGCAGAACAAGTGGCGGGTGCTGGCGGGGGAAGACTTGAATTCTAAATTCAAAAGGCATACTGAACACTTGCAGAAAATAATAAAAAGAGAATAACTAGATATATTTTGGCAGAATTATTTAATTATATGAATTAAGAAAAATCCTATGAATATTCATTCAGAAAAAGTTGTATATAACCTAGGAAAGAAATTTCTTCCCATGCTCAAAAACAAATCTAAAATATCATAAGACAATGGAGCAACATCTAAAGAGTTTTAACATGGAATACTTGTTCAAAATTTTTCTTCATGTGTGCAAGCACAAGAAATATTTTCCTCATTCTTACGTATTTCAGCATGTCTATTATTCTTACATCTTTCCTAATACACATATTAAAGCCTGCAAGGAAAACTAAAGAAAAAAGAAGATGAAATGATTTCATCTATTCAAAATAAATCATCCTCAAACTAAGCAAATATATTTAATAAAAAATACATCACGATCAAAAACACTGACTAGTTTAAAATAGGTCATAAAAGAAAATCATGTTATCTAAGTCAATGTAAAAATAATTTTATAAAATTTAATTCGCATGCTGGGTATAATCGAAATAAGAAAGTTATTTCTTGACATGTTAAAATGTAACCATTCTGAATTGGATCATCACGCTTAATGAAGAAATTATTGAAGCATTTTAATTAAATTTAGTAAAATAAAAAATAAAACCAAACCAAAATATAAAGTTACTCATAACTAAATCATTAGTAAATATTTTTTCTGATCATACTAGCCTAAACAAAAAATAAGAAAAAGAAATAAAAAGGCATACATTCTGGAAAAATGAGATAATAAATTAATTTGCAGTTGATATGATTACCTAGAAAATCCAAGATAACTCACTAAAAAAGGGAAAAAAACCACACTATTAGAACTGATTATTAATTAAATACTAAATAAATAAACTAATATTATATACCTTGTTCAGAAGAAATATACAAAACAAGTAGCGGTCATATATATGAGTAACACTTTTTTCTATAACAGCTTTACCAGACAGTTCTGCACTGAGAATTACAGAAAATGCTTAGGTAGGACACAGTAACAGAATTACAAAATCCAGCTCTGAATTTCTAATACATGATCCAAAAACCATCTGTTAATTATTGCAATACCTACTTAGCTGAATGGATGAGCAACAGAAGGGGAAGTCAAGGAAGTAGAAATCATTGCCCCTGATATTATGAAACTTGAATACCTGAGGAGAGTATATATATACACACGAAACCATTCAAAACTGGAATTAATTTTACATTATACATTTATATTTTTACATTCTATAGTTTTACATTTTTTATATAAGAAGAGTTCAGTCTGCCTGAATAGTCAATACAATTTGTAAATGTTTTCATCCTCAAATATAATTTCTGACAAAAAATAACCTTGTTTGGGTTGGGGGAAGCAAATAGGGGCACGAAGTCAGCTTATTTCTAAATACAAAGTTAAGTATATGAGATTTTTCATCAAGAAAAAAGTCCATTAAACTCATCCTAGGAATTCACGAGTGAAAGCTTTTTCCTATATCAAAGGAATGTATCCCTCACTCCACAATTGCACCCCTAGAAAACCTATTTCATGGCATAATTTTTGTTCTATTACTGGAATGAAATAAAATCATGGAAATAAAACCAATCTCAGATAATTATTTTCTGAATATGCGGAGACATTTCAGGACAACCAGTAACTAAGCAATGCCTAAAAATAGCAAAAGATCATTAAGGAACAGCAACTGTGTATTTCTGGTATTTCATTTGCCATAGATGGGGGATTTTCCAGCAGGCACATGAAAGAGGAAGGAAAAATGAGACAAGAATTATACCTGCCACCTGACCCAGAAACTTTATGAATTAGTCTGAGAATGGTACGTGAGTTATCTTTTTAACAGTGATTTAGGAACGTGTAGCATATCACTTTTAAATGCTGAGTGAATCTGACATGATCAATTCTCAACATTAAGAAAAAAATTATATTTGGACAAATTGCATCTCATCTACTGCTTCTCAACTGTACCGGTGCCAGCAATATTAAAGCTTTTAGCAAACTGACTTACAGTCATCTGTGTCAGTTACCTGGCAGACATCAGAATGGAGGCCAAGCGGTGGCCATTGTTTTATGTATTTCGACTTTTTAATCCCTGTGACTTTTTTGTATAAGAAACTTGAGTTATGTCCCAGATATTTAATATTAATCCCATAACCCTTCTATATTCCAGCGTGCAAAAAATGTCTATTTTTTTTTACTTGATAGATTCTGAAGAATCAAGTACCTAAATAAATTTAAACTGATTTTGCTAACAGCAACATCAGAGAAATTACCTTTGTTTCTTGGCAATTTTAGTTTATTATAAAATATGCCCAATGCAGGAAGCTGTTTTACTAATTTTTACATCAGGCTGGTACTGAAGGGCAGCCTCATCTCCTAAGCCACCATGATGAGCTAAGAACTTGGGACTCTTAGATGTACAGTTTTCTTCAATTGGTGGCTTTATTGAGGTCATCACAATCAGTTGAGAAATCTTCTGTTTAAGCTTGCTTTGTTACAAGATTATAGATGCAAGAAAAGCAGGATTTGTGTACCTATCCTTACTCTATTGTACTTCCTCTAAGAAGGTCATTTGCTAGTTTCCTGGGCCATCTACATCAAATTAGATGAAGGAATTCTTCATATTCAATTCCTTTGGGTTCTGTTCGATTCTGGGTCAATTAGTGTTTTTGCTATATTAGGCATAGACAATTGTACTTATATCTAGAAAATTTTCTTTTCTACACTGCTGAGATTTACGCATCTTTTGTAGGATGTGCCTTTAACTTACTCCCTATTACAAGGCCAGTTGGTCTCACGTTCATGATAATTTGCATAATAGATTGGGTTCCTCATAGAATTCCTAGTATTCTTTTCTGGATAGATGAATTAAGTCAAACAGAAATTCCCTTGATATTGATGGTTCAAGCTGTTTTAAGACTTAGGATGCAGTGACATATACAGTAATATTTTGCAAAGTTAATATTGATGTTGAAAAAAATGAGGGACAGAGTGGTTAGGTGGCTTCCCAAGGTCACAAAATCAATAAGGAGGACAGCAGTAATTAAAATGGCATGGTAGTTTAGAATCTATATGCCTAAATACACAGAGATTCAATGAGTTTTACTCATCATGTCTTTGTCATCATTTCATTATCTTGTACTATCTTAATATATTTTTACCAGGACTTTCCTGGGGTTGTGTAGGTGGAATCATTTTGTTCCTATTAAGCACAAAAGATATTTGGCAGGGACACATTAAGGAAATTATAAGTTAAATAATGGAGAATAGTCACTCAGACCTGAAGTAGGCTGAATAGGTATATCTCGAAGCAGATGTATCCCATCAAGTACCAATTTCATCGATCTATTCTATTGAGCGTAAATAGGCTAGCCAACATTTCATTGCATCATAGAGACACAATATAATTTTCAGCAGACTGTGAAGTCTAGTGAGCTGCCTGTGGCCTGCAGTGTGGCAATCAGAAGCTGTATAGGTTTGAGCAAGTCACTTAACCACTCTGGGGTTCAGACGAAATAAGGGAGTTGAGCTTGATGGGTTCTACCAATCTTTCCACTTCTAATCATCATTTTTGCTTAGACTAAGTTAGTATTTTTCATTATGATGTTACTGGAATAGAACATTAGAATAGGAACCCTTAATTATAAACGACAGGGATTTTACTGAAAATGCCACAAAAAAGGGCAAAGGAACATTCTTCAAAATGCTTTTTCAAAACCCTATCTTTTACTAATCTTAGAGTTGTATCTTCTTAAGGATAATTGTATTTTCTTCAAAATTAAGTAGAATCTCTTTCAAGAAAAGAAGGTTATTCTCATGGATAAAATATAGTGAATGCTTTAAAATTTGAATTTCTTAGAAGAAAAATTGCTCCAGTGTAATGAGAAGAGTCGGAGCCTCTCTCCGAAAGAGCATTAATTGTTCCCCACCCCTTCTGTCTGACAGTCAATTACTAAGAAATAAAATTATGTATTTAAGTAAATAATTTTTTGAAAATGATCTTTCAAATTACTACTTACATTATTGGCCTTTGAATTATAAGTGTAAGATTATTTTAATAAAGTTATCTTATAAAATAGTTACATTTTTTACACCTCGTAAAAACTAGAATACTATCCACATTATATGTTGCATTTTACAATCTTAAGCAGTATAAATGAATGTAGAAATTGCTTAATATTAATTAGCCAACATAAATACTGTTATTATCTATGATTCTTAATTGAAGACAGTCCACAGTAAAAAATAAAAAAAAATTATCTTAAGAAGTAGTGTAACTGGAGTCTACTCTCTAACCCCATGTTGTACATAGTGAAACATAAACCCCAGATTTCCATGAATTAGGGTCTTGAGCCTTTTATGGCAAATATAAATACTCTGGGGGATTCTGGTTTAAAATTTTCTAAGACCATACTTCCTGCATCAGCCTCTTCCAATTTGTCACTAAAATTCTAATGGAGCCCTGAAAAGAAGAAATTTCTTAGTAATACTAACAACAGAAATATACACCTGGTCTACTGGCCACACCAGAGAAATTTCTGCTAACCACAAAACCTTTGGAGCTCAGTTGACAACCATAATAAGGCTTCTCAATCTGAGAATTAAAAAGATGAAAAGACACTTGGCCTTTTACTAACTCCCTGTTTCCTGATTTGATAATTCTGGTTGTGTCAACCCAAACACCAAGCTAACATCTCTCTATTATGATTCCATTCCCTACCTCCCTGATGCTGTCTTTCTTCATGCATCCAACTAGAAAGTTCAACTTCCAAGGAAGAAAAAAAAATTGAAGGAAATTGAGGGATAACATATTACATTCTGGGAAGTAAAGTCCCAGCAGATAAAGCACTTTGGGAAAACATATTCAAAAAACCACTAGTAGCAATTCATGGAGGGGATCATTCTTATAAATTATTTAATGCGTTTGTTGTATCACAGAAACAGACTGTAGGAGGTGAAGAAATTCCAATCAAAATCTATCAATGCTACGCTAAATGCATTCCTGTTAGAAAGTGTAAATTATCTTGAGAGTTGTTCTCGTTATCTTGCCCTTCAGCTATTGGTATGAGAAGAAAATTATAATATTGTAATACCATAGCAAAGACAGAGTACCTGCTCAAGATAAAGTTCCAGCTTATTTATTGGTAGGCATTGGGTCTGTTTGAATCTCTTCATGTTCTAGGACAAGGATGAGTATGTAAGAAGGTAGGTAAATTGATTGATAAATAATAAATTAGATAAATAAGAAAAATGAAAGTTAACATGTACATGATTCTAAAGAGTTAAAGAAAACAAATATTAATACATCGGGAAAGAATTTGCTATAGAACAAAAGGAAATCTTTAAGCATATTCATACACCTTTGTTAGGAAGTTAGAAAACACAGCATTCAATGAAAGAGTAGCAAAAAGATGAGATAAAACTGGATTACAAGGAAACTCAAAATTTAATAACAGAATTAAAGAGTTTATTTGAAGCAAAAAAGAGTACATCAGGCAAAAATGAAATCAATCATTCAGAGGGCAAAATAGAAACAATTCTTCCATATCACTTTAGAGTGCTTGTGTTGTTTTGGTGCACAAAACTGTGACTGCACAAAATAAGGCAGAAATGTTATCAGTGATGATGAAATCATTCATGGGTTTTTTCTCTTTTTATACTGTGTTTTATTTTGTAAATATTTTGAAAACAGCCAGTGCTATTCAAATAATCAAAATAAATACACATTATAAAAAGTATGATAGCAGTGCAAACTCAGAGAGATCAATTGTCAGAACAAAACACATGGAACAGATTTTAGTACAGCTGTAAGAAAAAATTGCAAGCTAATTAAAAACTGCATAGATTTTTTAATGTTCAGAAGAAAATTAAGTTAAATTATTATCTTACCTTATACATGTAACTATATAGTAAATGAATCAACTAATTAAATGGACATAAGCCATAAAAAGCTAGAAGAAAACATATTATACTATTTGATTAATCACTCAAGATAGAATTCTAAAGCATACAGTAAAAAAGATGGCATCAAGCAAAAGGAAAAAATATATATAAATATATATTACATATATTTTAATAAAATAATATACCGTTAAAACATTGCTAAATATAGAAAATCAGAAATCATGATAAAGAATCAACAAATATTCAATCACATTTAAAATTAAAGAAAATAATATTAACATGAAATATTAGTATTCATGTATGAAATTGGCAAAAATTTAAAAATCATTTTTCAGAAATTGGGCATAAGGCTTCCTGTGGAAATGGAAAACCATCTAGATGGTGAAACCATCTAGAAAAATAAATTGGTGAAATGTATAAACAGCATTAAAAATTTCTATCATTTTGAACCAGTAATCCAACATTAAATTTTTTATACTTAAAAGATATTCAGAGGTACCCACAAAAATTTATATTTTAAATGTTTATACAACATTATTTATGATGGTAAAAAGTAAAGATAATATAAATGTCCAAGTATAAGAAAATAACTACCTGTTAGTATAGTCATATGTTGGAATCAGGTAATAATTAGAACTTAATTTTTCAAAGAATATTAGGTATAAAATTTTTATTAGGTGATATTACATGACAAAATAGCAATATAGAAACAGTATACAGATGGTCCTCCACTTACAATGAGTTTATATCTCCATTGTAAGTTGAATATACAGTTAGGTTGAAAATGCACTTAATACACTTGCCCTACAAAACATTATAAGCTCAGCCTCGCCTACGTTAAAAGTGCTTGAATATTTCCATCAGCAAAATCATCTAACACAAAGCCTGTTTTATGATTAAGTATTAAATATCTTATGTAATGTATTGAATAATGTACTGAAAGTGAAAAACAAAATGGTTGTACTGGTCCTCAAAGTACAGTTTCTACTGAATGTGTATCACTTTCTCATCACTGTAAAGGTAAAAAATTGTAAGTCAAACCATCTTAAGTTGGGGACCATCTGTGTAAAATACAGTAGTTCTTGCTTATCTGTTGTTTTACTTTTTGTGGTTTCAGTTACCCGTAGTCAACCATGGTCTGAAAATATTAAAGGAAAATTCCAAAATAAACAATTCACAATTTTAGATTGTGGATCATTCTGAGTAGCCTAATGAAATCTCATGCTGTCCCTCTCCATCCCACCCAGGACATGAATCATCCTTCTGTTCAGCATATTCATGCTGTATACACTGCCTGCACTTTGGTCACTAAGTAGCCATCTTGGATACAAGATCATGGGTCATGGTATCACATTGCTTGTCTTCAAGTAACTCTTATTTTACTTAATAATGGCCCTGAAGCAAAAGAGTAGTGATTATGACAATTCAGATATGCCAAAGAGAAGTTGTAAAGGGCTGCCTTTAAGTAAAAAGGTTGAAAGTTCTTCACTTAGTAAGCAAAGAAAACAAAATCATTTGCTGAGGTTTCTAAGATCTAAAGTAAGAATGAACTTTCTATAAAATTGTGAAAAAGAAAGAAATATGTTCTAGTTTTGCTGTCACACCTCAAAATGCAAAAGTTACAGCCACAGTGTATAATAAGTGTTTAGTTAAGATGGATAAGGCATTTAACTTGTGAGTATGAGAGAGCCAGGTACGAGTGGGTGCCCGAAAAAACTCCAGCCGGCCTGTGCACTGAGGGCAGCCTTGGGAAGCTCCTACCCTTTGCAGCGGGGAGGAGCCTGGCTCCTCCTCTTCCTGTGTGGAACCTGGGATTCAAGCCGCCAGGCAAAGTGCCCTAGCAGGGACTCTGGCTTAGTGAGAGTCTCTGTTTCCCCCTTTTCTTTCTTTCCACCCAATAAAACCGGGTCTTACTCATCATTCAAATTGTCTGCGAGCCTGAATTTTTGTGGCCGTGGGACAAAGAACCCCGTCTTTAACGGAACTAAGGAAAAGCCCTGCAACAATTTTGGCGCGCAACGTGGGGACTTGAGAAGCGGTGAGTGAAATGGAGACTCAAAACTCTCTCACTGTGGTTTCTAAACCTTTTCATCCTGGGACTTCTGAGGGTGGGGGAAACCATGCGCCTACCCCCTGTCACTCCAAAGCCTTTTCCTGGCCTTTTCCTTCCTTTTTCAAGTCAGATCTGCGAGCAACGGCTCCCCTCTACCCCCCCATCCTTACCATGGCTGGGACTTATGGCCCAAGGGTCCCACACAGCTGGCTGGCTGGCGTTTTCCACCACATCTCTGGAGACTTCCCCTTCCCCAGCCAACGGGTTTTACTCCATCAGACAGTAATTAAGCTTTTCTCCTGGTAAAGAAAACAGTTGTGTAAGAATAAGAAGTTCTTCTCTAGGCATTTTTAAACCTTTTTTTTTCCCTGTTCTCTACCCCGTCAGCAGTTAAGCTTGTTTTTTCCTTTTAGAAGCCATTTTACTAGGCCAGGCTCCGCAACTATCACTGTTTGTACTCTCTGCAAAGTTTTGGTTGTCCTAGTATGGGGTAATACATAGTAAAATTATAATATTTTGGTCTGAGACAGTATTTGAAAGCCGAGGGTGACCAGGCGCGCTGGCTTCCGCCTGTAATCCCAGCACTTTGGGAGGCCGAGGCGGGTGGATCACGAAGTCAAGAGATCGAGACCATCCTGGCCAACATGGTGAAACCCCGTCTCTACTGAAAATACAAAAATTAGCCAGGCGTGGTGGCACGGGCCTGTAGTCCCAGCTACTCAGGAGGCTGAGGCAGGAGAATCGCTTGAACCTGGGAGGCGGAGGTTGCAGTGAGCCGAGATCATGCTACTGCACTTCAGCCTGGTGACAGGGTGAGACTCCTTCTCAAAAAAAAAAAAAAAAAAAAAAAAAAAGCCCAGAGTTTAGATGGCACTTTTACTCTAATTCAGGACCTTGTAATAGACAACTCAAGGGAAAGAGTGAGGCATTTTGCTTCCTTATGAGCCTCAAGAATGATGTCCTTCTAACATTCACAGTTCCACAGTTCTGTGGGTCTGCCTCTCCATCATCAGACTGTTTTAAATGTTTGCTTCTTCTCCTTGCACATCCTCTTCCCACATCTGAATTAAACTATTCTTAGTGCCTCTTCTCCTTTCCCTTTCGCTTTGGAGAGACAATACCTTTTTTCTTCCTTGCAGCACTTTAACATCTTCTTCTAGGGTCATACCCTGTTCTTCAACTCCTTTCCCACTCTAACCCCATGAGTGTGGCCAATGACAGCACCCCATCTCCTGATCCATAGAGGCAGACACAGGTCTGAGATCTGAGCATTCATGGGACTACCGCCCTTGCTTTTTTGAGGGGTTCAAATGCCAACAAATCAATCAAAACACTTCACTGAATTTTTTCTGATTGAAGTGAATGCAGGAGAATTTCCCCACCCACCATTTCTGGGTGAGTTTGAAAATATATAAGCAATGATTCTATACTCCTGAGCTTATTCCATCTGAGAGAACACAGAGGAAGCACAGACTGCTGACAGCTTTTGGAGGCTGGAACTATTTATACCAGGGTTATCTATCTCATCTTTTTCTACAGATTATTTCCTTAGATCAGTTTTTTGTTGTTGTTGTTTTACTTAAACTAGTTTAAATTTTCAAATGAAAACTGGCCAGTATAACACACAACCTCATCACGCTTAATTCTACAAGTTATGTATGTTAACTACGACTATTCTATTTAGACATAGGGAAGTTTGAAACTCACCCCCCTAGCCCATGCTGGCAATTTTTCCAATATAAATAAACATCTCTGCTCTCTCTCTTTAGCCTAGAGAATTTTCATAACCAGAAAGAAATGTTCTTTTGGCTATAAAGTGTCTATAGGTTATAATGGCAAGAACAGTATAAATAATAAGACAACGTATATTTATTTTCAACAGTAGTAATCAGAAGATTTAATATACATTTCTAACACTTTGAAGGATAAATTATAATAAAATGGCTAGGGATAATATAGATGACGCATATAAATCTAGTGAATAAACTGCATTAAATATTATACATTGCAAAAAGATTTGCAAAGCAACTTCTTTTCTAGTGCCCATGGATGACTTATAAAAATTGATTGTGTATCAGAGAAGAGAGAAATCCTCAGTAATTACTCCAAAGCAGGTTTTAAATACTGAGGTTTATGCAATAAATAACTTTATTTATGAAATATAAAAATATTCAATCATTTGTATTTTTTGAATCACTATCCTATATAACTCTTTGTTCTAAAAGAAATCAAAAGGGCAATTCTTCGCATTAGGATAAGGGTAATAGTACACAACAAAATCTGTGGTTCTAATAAAAGCAAAAATCTATGAAAAAGTACACCATTAAATACATTAATATTAGCAAAAAAGAAATTATCTAGATGTTCAATTAAAATTATTTTTAAGTAGAACAAAGTATTATTGGAGATAACATAAGGATGATGAATTGGAAAAGAGAAAATTCATATAGTTATTTGCTCCCATTCATATACCTAACAATAGGCAGGGCCAAAACAGCTTCAAACACCATACTTTGGAATGCTTCATTATACCTCATCTAGTACAATCAGCAAAAGAAAGGGTACGTGTATACAAAGACAGTCATGGAAAAGTCAAATGAAGAAAAATATTTGTTGATTTAAAAAGAATAGGCTGTCCCTTACAACATATAAAGAATTAAATTCCAGATAATTTTTTGCACTATATAATTATATACAATTATATATGATTACTTATACAATTATGAATATAATCTATAATTATAGAAAACATATATAATTTAGAAAATAATATTTGCATACATTAAGGTGAGTGAAAATTTCTTATGGAGGGAATAAAATCCAAAAGTCTTAAATGAAAAAAAGGAATATTGTATAAAAATAAATATTCTTCCATGGCAAAAGACATTGAACATGAGAATTGTTAAGAAAAATGGAGCTGATATAATGGGGAAATTTTTTGACATGTATGTAGACAAAGGGTTAACAGTTCTATACACCAACTGTAAATTCATTGTAAAAGAAGCAAATTCAAGAAGTATAATTGGGAAAAGAAAATAGAAAACAAATTCATGTGAGTGGAAATGTAAATAATGGAAATGGACAATAAGTAATGAAAAAATATGTTCAGGCTTGCTGATAATCAGAAGAATGCAAATTATAAAATGAGAATTTGTTTTTTATTCATCAAACTGGCAAAATTAAAATGTATGGTAATATTAAGATTTAATATTGGATATAAGGAAATGGACAGTCTCAGACATTACCATAGTGTGAATGAAGCATCTGGCAAAGCATACAGAAATGAAGACAATTAAGTGAGAATATGTACATGCAACGATATTGTTCACAGCAATACTCATGGTAGCAAAAGCTGGAAATTCCCACAAACAGAATGTTAGATATATAACTAGACATATAAGTCATAATATTGAGGAATGGCAAAAAGACAGCAATCACATACACACATATATAACCTAAAATATATGATTTTATTGGACAACTTTATGGTAATATAATGGAGAAAATCTTCCCAAAGGGTGACTTTCTTGGAAAATGCAAATAATCATTTCAGAAATATACACCTGAGCAGATGAATTAATGAGAAAGTAAAATTTAAAAAGACATTATCAAATAATTACTTTTATAAGAACGTCTAAGTTCAGAGACTTGCATGAATGGATTTGTCATATCTTCAGGGAATGGTTACTTCCCATGGGATTTAAACTGTTCCAGGAATTAATAAACAATGTAAATATTTCAATTTTTTAATGATATATACACACATTCAGAAGAGTACATGTATCCTAAATGATAAATATTAAGTGAGTGCCTCTGTAACCATTAGGCAAGTCACAAGATGGAATGTTTTCTGCACTCCTGATGCTCTCCAGGTGTGTCTTCCCCTCATGGTCTTTTCACTCTCCCAAGGCCATAACCAGTATGGTAACTTTTGAAAGTAACTTTCTTCTATTTGTTTATGGTTTTAACTTATAGGAGCATCATCAAATGATATAGCTTAGTTTTTCATCTTTTTAAACTTTATATAAATGTATGTATTCTGACTGAATTCTCTTATTCCACATTTTGTTTGTAAAATTTATTTGCATTGTTGTTATTACATGCGGCCCTAGCACATTCACTTTTGTCAATTACTCCATTGTATAAAGGACATTGTATGGAAAGTCTAAAAGTAAGCCATCCAGTTTATTGTGTATTTTTTTAACTTTTTTTTCTGTTTTTAATCTATTTGAAATAATGTTGTTATGAACATCTTTGTACATGTTTCCTGGCATATGGGCATATATTTCTTCAGGGTATACTCTCAGATCTGAAATTGATAAGTTATGAGATATGCCTGTCATTAAACTTACTAGAGAATGTTATATTGCTTTCCAAAGTTGTATTCCAATTTGCCTATTATGTAGTAGGGTATGGAAATTTCTGTTGCTCTACAAATTCATCAACAACTAGTATTGACAGACATTTTTTATTGTTTGGCAATATGGTGGTTGTGATTTTAAATTTGACTTACTATTGGGGTTCAGTATTTTTACCTACGTTTATTAATCATTTGGATTTCCTCTTTTGTTAAATCCCCATTCAATTATTTGGCCCAGGAAGGAGCCAAGATGGCTCTCCCAATGAGATACTAGACCATCAAAAAAACTGGAACACTCCAGGCATATCTTCAGAAGGAAAGCATTGAGAACAAACAGAGGGAGGATATAGATCCTAGGCTGAAGAGTAAGGCGGCTGGGAAACCTGCACAGGGCTACTGTGTACCAGGACTCATTCCTGGACCCCAGTGGTTCCTGGGGAAGAGGTGAGTTAAATGAGTAAGGAGTGAGCATACTATATTATACTGCCAAAGATCTCCAGAATCCTAGTGCAGGAGACCTCACAGCCCCTACAGACACAAGCTGAAAGGGAAAGCAGTTTGGAGAGGTGGCAGGGACAGGACTTTAGCCTGTGTAAAGCCCACAGGGTATGGCATGGGAATGGCTGCAGTGGAGTATGAACTGGGACAGCCATCCCTAAAGGCTCGCCACACTCTTCTAGGTGGTTTTGGCCTTTGTTGATTGTTGGACCTGGACAGAGTTGGGCTGTCTTGCCTGTGAGATGAAGCCAGTCTGATCTGAACTCCCTTCTGTTTTCCAGGCTCTCATGGGGTCCCTGCCTGGCCACACCCACTTGTAGCCTCAGGTGCCTAACAAGTTGCTTCCTAGCAGCCAACACCAAGGCTACTTCACTGGCAGACTGCACATGACCATCAGAGAACTCCATCACAAAGGACCCTGCCAATGCACAACCACCCACCTGTAGCCTCCCCCCACCATTTTGTTGTCATGCACTCATCTGCAGCCCTTGTGCACTGCATTGCTGTCATGTGTGCAAGTAGAACACACTACCCCTCCACCACCAGCACACAAGCACAGCCCACCACCTCCATTGACGCACGTGTACTCCACTGCACTGCCACCCCGTCTCCCTTTGGAACCACATGCCCACTGACACATGTGCACCCTGCCATGCCACTGCCACTGCTGGCATGTGCATATGAGCTCAGACCCTCTGCCACTCCCCCAGTGAAGCACATTAGCTTGCACTCCCCATTGAAGTGTTGTTGCCAGTGGACCAGGAATACCTCAGCCCCTCCAGTTCAGCAGGTGCTTAACCTTCAGGGGCTAGGGAACAAACCCATAGGCCTGGTACCAGCCCCCAGGGTTAGAATCCACAGCTCATGAGTGCCAAGCAAAGCCTTAGCCCCCTGAAATTTTCCAGAAACAAAGCTAGTGAACTCAGCCTACCTTATATCACAGTCAAACCCTCAAGGTAATTAAATAATATAAAAGCAAAAAAAATCCAAAGAAAAGCAGTTTCAAAGACCAAATGACCATCAGCCACTCAGATGAAAGAGAAACAGCTCAAGAACTCAGGGAACTTAAAAAGCCGTAGTGTCTTCTTACATCCAGACATCCACACTAGTTCCCCCGCAATGGTTCTTATCCAGGTGGAAATGGTCAAATGACAGGCATAGAATTCAAAATCTGGATAGGAACAAAGATCATTGAGATTCAGGAGAAAGTTGAAACCCAATCCAAGGAATCTAAGGAATCCAATATAGTGATACAAGAGCTGAAAGATTAAATAGCCATTTTGAAAAAGAACCACACTGATCTGATAGAGCTGAAAAACTCACTACAAGAACTTCATAATACAATTGGAAGTATTAACAGCAGAGTAGACCAAGTTGAGGAAAGAACCTCATATCTCGAAGACCAATTTTACAAATCAATTTAGTCTGATAAAAATAAACAATAAGGAATTAAAAAGAATGAACAAAACCTCAAAGAAATATTGGATTATATAGAGACAAACCTATGACTCATTGGTGTCCCTGAAAGAGAGGGGGAGAGAGCTGCCAATGTGCAAAACATATTTGAGAATATTGTTCATGAGTCTTTCCACAACCTCAATAGAGAGGATAACATTCAAATTCAGGAAATGCTGAGAACAGCCATGAGATACTATACAAGATGACCATCCCCAAAACATGTAGTCATCAGATTCTCTGAGGTCAGTAAGTAAGAAAAAATATTAAAGGCAGTTAAAGAGAAGGGGCAGGTCACCTACAAAGGGAACCCATCAGGCTAATAGGAGACATTTCAGCAGAAACCCTACAAGCCAGAAGAGATTGGGGGCCTATATTCAGCATTCTTAAAGAAGAGAAATTCCAACCAAAAATTTTATATCCAGTCAAAGTAAGCTTCATAAGTGAAGGAGAAATAAAACCCTTTCAGGCAAGTGAATGCTGAGGGAATTCATTACCATCAGACTGCCTTACCAGAGGCCCTTATGGGAGTGCCAAACATGGAAACAAAAGACCATTACAAGCCACCATAAAAACACACTTACTACATAGATAACTGGCACTACAAAGCAACTACCCAATCAAGTCTTCATAGCAACCAGCTAACAAAATAATGACAGGATCAAATCTGCACGTATCAGTATTAACCTTGAGCATAAATGAGCTACATATCCCCACAGAAAAGGCGTAGAATGGCAAGTTTGATAAAGAAGCAAGACCCAACTATATGCTGTTTATAGAACACCCATCTCATATGCAAGGACACCCATTGGTTCAAACAAACAGAAAACACAAAGAGCAGCGGGTTGCTATTCTAATTTTAAACAAAACAAACCTTAAACCAACAACAATAAAAAAAAGGACGAAGAAGGGCATTGTATAATGATAAATAGTTCAATTCAACAACAAGATTTTAACTATCTTAAATATATGTACACCCAACACTAGAGGAGCCAGATTTATAAAATGAGTTCTTGGAGACCTACAAAGAGATGCACATAACCACACAATAATAGTAGGAGATGTCAACACCCCACTGACAGTGTCAGACAGATCATTGAGGCAGAAAACTCTCAAAGATGTTTAATACCTGAACTTAACACTTGACCAAATGGACCTAACAGTCATCTACAGAACACTCCACCTCCAACAGAATATACATTCCTCTCATCTACACATAGGACATACCTGAAATTGAACCCACGATTGGCCGTAAAACAGTTATCAACAAACTCAAAAAAACCGAAGTCACACCAACCACACTGTCAGACCACAGTGAAATAAAAATAGAAATCAATTCTAATGTCAAACCACAATGCAATAAAAATAGAAATCAGTTCTAAGAAGCTCTCTCAAAGCCATATGATTACATGGAAATTAAATAACCTGCTTCTGAATTGCTTTTGGGTAAACAATAAAATTAAGGCAGATACCAAGAAATTATTTGAAACTAATGACAACAAAGATACAGAATACCAGAAGCTCTGAGACACAGCTAAAGCAATGTTAGAGTATAGTTTTGCTAAACGCCAACATGGAAAAGTTAGAAAGACCTAGCATCACACCTAGAGGAAGGAGAAAAACAAGAGCAAACCAGCCTCAAAACTAGTAGAAAACAATACATAACCAAAATTATAGCTGATGTGAATGAAATTGAGATGCAAAAAGGCATACAAAAGGTGGATGAAACTAAAAGTTCTTTGAAAGAATAAATAAAATAAAAATAAATAAAAGAATAAATAAATAATAAATAGAATAAAAAACCAAAAGTCAGTTCTTTGAATGAATAAAGAAAAAATAAAATTGATAGACTGCTAGCTGGACTAAAAAAGAAAAAAAAAAGAGAAGATCCAAATAAACAATCAGAAATGATAAAGGGGACATTATTATCAATGCCACATAAATATATTAAAGAAAACCCTCAAAGACTAGTATAAACACCTACGTGCAAACAAATTAGAAAAGCTAGAAGAAATGAACAAATTCCTGGAAACATACAATGTCCCAAGATTGAACAAGGAAGAAATTGAAACCAAGAATAGACCAACAACAAGTTCCGAAATCGAAGCAGTAACAAAAAGCCTACCAACCAGAAAAAGTCCTGTACCAGACAAATTCACAGCTGAAAGCTGAATCCTACCAAACATATAAAGAAGAGCTGGTACCAATCCTACTGAAACTATTCCAAAAAATTGAGTAGGAGGGACGCTTCCCTAACTCATTATATGGGGCCAGCATCATTCTGATACCAAAACCTGACAGAGACACAAGAAAGGAATATTTTAGACCAACGTACCTGATGAACATAGTCACAAAAATCTTCAACAAAATCATAGCAAACCAAATCCAGCAGTACATCAAAAAGCTAATCCACCATGATCAAGTAGCCTTTATCCCTGAGATGCAAGGTTGCTTCAACATAGGCAAATCAATAAATGTGATTCCTCACATAAACAAAGCTAAAAACAAAAACTACATGATCATCTCAACAGATGCAGAAGACTTTCAATAATATTCAATAGCCCTTTATGTTTTAAACCCTCAACAAACTAGGCACTGAAGGAACATACCTCAATATAATAAGAGCCATCTGTGACAAACCCACAGGCAACATAATACTGAATGAGAAAAAGCTGTAAACATTACCCTTGAGAACCAGAACAAGACAAGGATGCTCACTCTTATCACTCCTATTCAACACAGTACTAAAAGTCCTAGCCAGAGCAATCAAGTTAAGAGAAAGGAATAAAAGGCATCCAAATAACAGAGAACATCAAACTATATCCCTTCACTACATCTCTTCACAGATGATATGATTTTATTATACCTAGAAAACCCCATAGTCTCTGTCCAAAAGCTTCTAGATCTGATAAACAACTTCAACAAAGTTTCAGGATACAAAATCCATGTACCAAAATCAGTAGCATTTCTATCTACCAACAATGTCCAATCTAAATGCCAAATCAAGAATGCATATCACATCGCAATAGCCACAAAATATAGAATGCTTAGGAATACAGCTAACCAGGGAGGTGAAAGATATCTAAAATGAGAATTACAAAGCACTGCTGAAATAAGTCAGAGATAACACAAACAAATGAAAAAATATTCCATGCTCATGGATAGGAAGAATCAATACTGTTAAAATGGCCATACTACTCAGACCTATTTCAGACTCAATGCTATTCCTATAAAACTACCAATGACATTTTTTACAGAACTAGAAAAAAATTCCAAAATTTATATGGAACCAAAAAAGACCCTGAAAATCCAAATCCAAAGCAATCTTAAGAAAAAGAATGAAGGCCTCACATTACCTGATTTTATACTACAAGGCTACGGAAACCAAAACAGCATGGTACTGGTACAAAAACAGACACACAGATCAATGCAACAAAATAGAGACCCCATAAGTAAAGCCACACACCTAAAAACATCTGAGCTTCGATGAAGTCACCAAAAAGCAATGGGGAAAGAACTCCTTATTCAATAAATGGTGCTGGGATAACTGGCTAGCCATATGCAGAAGATTGAAACTGGACCCCTTCCTTTCATTATAGACAAAAGTCAACTCAAGATAGACTACAGATTGAAATTTAAAATAGAAAACTATAAAGCCTCTAGAAGAAAACCTAATAAATACCATTCTGGGCATAGGCTCTTGCAAATATTTTATTATGAAGATTCTAAATGCAATTGTAACAAAAACAAAAATTGACAAGTGAGACCTAATTTAACTAAAGAGCTTCTGCAGACCAAAAGAAACTATCCAAAGAGTTAACCAACAACCTACAGAATGGGAGAAAATATTCACAAAATATGCATTTGACAAAAGTCTAATGTCCAGAATCTATAAGGAACTCAAACAAATTAACAGGCGAAAAACAACCCTATTTTAAAAAGGTCAAAGGACATAAACAGACACCTCCTAAAAGAAGACACACACACATGGCCAACAAGCATATGAAAAAATGTTCAACATCACTAATCATTAGAAACATGCAAATCAAAACCACAAGGAGATACCATCTTATACCAGTAAGAATAACAATTATTAAAAATTTAAAAGTAACAGACACTGGCAAGGTTGCACAGAAAAGGAAACGCTTATACACTGTTGGTGGGAGATTGTAAAAAGCAGTTTGGAGATTTCTCAAAGAACTTAAAACAGAGCGACCATCTGACCCAGCAGTCCCATTAGTGGGTATATATCCCACAGAATATAAATCATTCTACCATAAAGACACGTGCAGGCATATGTTTATTGCAGCACTATTCACAATAGCAAAGACAGGGAATCAACCTAGATGCCCATCAATGGTGGACCAGATAAAGAAAATGTAGTACATATACTTTATGGAATACTATGCAGCCATAAAAAGAACAAAATTATATCCTTTGCAGCAAAATGGTTGTAGCTGGAGTCCATTGTCCTAAGCAAATTCATACAGGAACAGAAAACCAAATAACCACACGTTCTCCCTTATAAGTGGTAGCTAAACATGAGTACACATGGATGCGAAAAAGGGGACAATAGACACTGGGTCCTACCTGAAGATGGAAGGTGGGAGGAGGGTGAGGATTTTAAAAACTATCGGGTACTATGCTTATTATCTGAGTGATGAAATAACCTGTACACCAAACCCCTGTGACATGCAATTTACCTATAAAACAAACCTGCACATGTACTCCTGAACCGAACATAAAAGTTGGGAAGAAAATAAAGAAAAGAATTATTCCATCTAGCCAAAAAAAATTTTTTTTAAAGCGAAAAATAAAATTTTGTGCACATTTCTATTGTGCTTTTTAAAAATATTGATTTGCAAATGTTCTTTACACAAGTTTTCTAGTAATCATATATATTATAAGTATTCTTTCTCATTCTTTGGCTTATATCTCTTTGTGGTATCTTCTGTAATTTAGTATAGTTGGATTTATCATTTTCCTTAATATACAGACATTTTGGTCTTGTCTATGATAGCTTTTTGTCTCCTAGTTAAGGATATTCTATATTATCTTCTAAAAGCCTTGTAGTTTGCCTTTTCCATTTAGGTCTACATGTATTCATTGGTTTTTGTGTATTGTATGATGTCTAATGTCGTTTTCTCTGTATAGAGGTCTTATTGTCCCAGTATCACTTATTGAAATACCTTTGTATATAATGAGTATGCATGTAATCATGGATCTGTTTATAGTCCCTTTATTCTGTTGTGTCTAGCTCTGCACTGTCTTAATTACTGGAACTTTATAATAAATCTTGAAAATTGTAGGAAAAGCTCTCACACTTCGACTAGGCTTTTTTAACCTTTTACATCTTCATATGAATTTGGATTTTGATTAGGATTGCAATTCATCTTTAAAACAATTTGTAAAATGAAATAGATTAAGAACATGCATCTAAGATGTCTTCCTCTTTTCTGAGGAATTATTTTACGAAAAAAATGCTTTCTATTGAATCTTATGCTTTAAAGATTCTCCATTAAAAAGATCCATCAATTTCTATCTTCATGTATTGCAAGTCTATGTTTCTCAGACTCATGATCTATATAAGAAACAGATGGAATTTTGTAAGGCTATTCTAATATTGGCACTATAACAATATTCATCATGTTTGGAATGAATTATTTTTATGTAATGATGCTTTTAGGGAAGTTTTTCTCGGTTATCGACTCTGTGTAAAGAAACTCTGTGTGCCGAGTTCTGCAGAATAAATTTAGTCCCCTGATTTTAGATAAATATATTTAAATATTACATGAAATTGAGAACTGGTGCAAACTGATATTTTGAAGGCACTTACAGCACTTCTGAATTATGTAATGTGGGAATTTATATCCTTCATTAATATGTTTAGCATTTTGCTATAGGTATAATATGTTAATTATAGGTAATTTATAAAGAATAGCATAGAGAAATTAAAAAGAACAATTAAAAAACCACCCAAATGGCTTCACCCAAAATTAATAATTTTTAATATTACAATAAACCAAATTTCCTTCTTGAATTTATATACAGCCGTATACCCCATCTCCTACATGTCCATATATCTTAAAATCAGTATAAAATAGTTATTTCAATAAATTGGCACCAAAGATCCTTTATAGTTTTAAAAACAATGTATTTCATATTTTCAAAAAACAGGCAATTTTAATTCTGTGTAATTTTCTTTGGAGCACAAGAAAAGATGAAAGAGTATTCAATTTATTTTCTGAAGTTAGAAAAACCTTGAAGTCAAAATATGACAATCAGTGCAAGTAAAAAAAAGACAAAAATCATTTAAGAATTTAGAAGCAAAGTATGTAAATGAACTACCAGAAAATAGAGTATAACAGCATATTAAAAGACCAAACTACTATAATCAAGTAGAGCTTATCTTAGTGATGAGAGGATGTTTTAAAGTTAGGAAATTTATGAAAATAATTTGCAATATCACCAAGTCAAATAGGAAAACAAGAGAAACATTAGCTAATAGTGGATTAAGTAATAAATCACAAATACTGGACAAATTATACAATTTCATCACTCAGCAACTATCATGATTATATATCCAAGAACTTGAGACAAAAACCAAGTATACTTAATACAAAATGGACTCTGAATGAAATCTATAAAATATATGTAGGAATCAATAACTTTTCTATGTCTTAGAATAAAGTTTGTAATATATGACCAAAATTTCATTTATAAAAACTGTAAAAATTATAAGACATATAAATAATGCTAAGAAGAAATGTGGATAATCCAGGTAAAGAAAATTAATTATTCAAGCCATCTTTTATGTCTGTTACTTAAACTGTAGGAAAACATACCATGTTCCTGAATAGTAAAGTTGAATATTGTAAAATGTTGATTCTTCTTCAGTTTTATTGGTTTAATTTACTGTGATAAAGAATCATTAGTTTTTGTGATATTTTTTGAAATTTATGTTAATTGACAAATAATAATAGTACATATTCATGGGGTACATAATGTTTCAGTACATACAATGTGCAGTAATCAGATTAGGGTAATTAGCACATCATTTATTTCTTTGTGTTGAGAAACATTTATTTCTTTGTGTTGAGAACATTCAGTATCTTCCTTCTAGCTATAGTAAACCTTATATTATTGTTAACTATATTCAACCTACAGTGATATAGAACACTATAACTTATTCCTCCTATTTAGCTGTCGTTTTGTGTCCTTTAACAAATCCCTATGTATTTTACCCTTTCACCTTCCTTCCCAACCTTTAGTATCTTCTATTCTACTTTTCACTTCTATGAGATCAGCTTATTAAGTTTCTACATATGAGTGAGAATATGTGTTTAGCTTTCTGTTCCTGGTCTACTTTACTTAACAATAATGTCCTCTAGTTCCATCCATGATGTTATGAATGACAGAATTTCATTCATTTTTATATCTGAATAGTATTCCATTGTGTTTATATACATTTTCTTTATCCATCAATCTCTTCATGGACTCCTAGATTGATTCCATTATCTTGGCCATTGTGAACAGTGTAGCAATAAACATGGGGCAGCAGGAATTCCTTTGATATGTTGATTACTTTTTGGGGGTAAATACCCAGTAGCAGTGAGATTGCTGGATCATATGGTAGCTCTATTTTTGTTATTTTTTTTTTCAGAAATCTCCATACTGTTTATCACAGTAGCTTTTTAATTTGCATTCCCAACACTACTGTATTTGTGTTCACTACTCTCTGCATTCTGACTAGCATTTGTTATTTTTTTTGTCTTTTTAGTAATAGCCATTTACACAGGGGTAAGCTATCTTGTTGTTTTGATTTTCATTTCCCTGATGATTAGTAATGTTGAGCATTTTTATATACCTTTTGACTGTGTGTATGTCTTCTCTTGACAAATGTCTATTCATGTCCTTTATCCACTTTTAATGGGATTATTGGTTTTTTATTGTTCAGTTGTTTGAGTTCCTTGTATATACTAAATATTAGTCCCTTGTCAAATGAATGGTTTGCAAATATTTTCTCCCATTCAACAGATTGTGTCTTCACTCTGTCTATTGTTTCCTTGACTGTGCAGAAGCTTTTTAGTGTAATATGGTCCTATTTGTCTATTCTGTTTTTGTTGCCTGTGTTTTTGAGGTCTTAACCATTAAATATTTGCCTGGACCAATGTACTGATCTAGCGGTTTTATAGCATCAGGCCTTATATTTAAGTCTTTAATTTATCTTGAGTTGATTTTTGTATATAGTGAGAGATGGGTACAGTTTTGTTCCTCTGCATATGGATATCTGATTTTCCCAACACCACTTATTGAAGAGGTTGTTCTTTCCCCACTGTATGTTCTTGGTGCCTTTATTTAAATTCAGTTGGCTGGAAGTATGCAGATTTATTTCTGGGTTGTATATTCTGTTTCATTGAATCTGTGTTGCTGTTTTTATACCAATACCATGCTATTTCATTATTATGACCTTGTAATAAATTTTGAAGTAAGGTAATGTGATGGCTCCAGTTTTGTTCCTTTTACTCAGCATTGCTTTGACTATTCAGGCTAATTTTTGGTTTCATATAAATTTTAGAATTTTATTTCTGTGAAAAATGACATTTGTATTTTGATAGAGATTGCATTAAATATGTAGACTGCTTTGGACATTGTTGTCATTTTAACTATATTAATTCTTTCAATCCGTGAGCATGAGATGTCTTTCCAATTGTTTGTGGCCTTCTCAGTTTCTTTCATCAGTGTTTTGTAGTTTTCTTTGTAGAGTTTTCTAATCTCTTTGGTGAAATTTATTCCTAGATAGTTCAAATTTTTTTGTAGCTATTGTACATGGGATTCCTTCTTTCTCTGCTAGTTCATTACTAGGGTATAGAAATATTACTGATTTTTGCATGTTGATTTTGTATCCTGCAACTTTGCCGAGTTGATTTATCAGATCGAAGAGTTTTTTGGAGTTTTTAGGTTTTTCTAGATATAAGATCATGTCATCTGCAAAAAGGAACATTTAACTTTCTCTTTGCCAATTTGAATGTCTTTTTTTTTCTCCTGCTTGATTTCTCTGGCTAGAACTTCCAGTACTGTGTTGAATAGGATTGGTGAAAGTGGGCATCCTTGTCTTTAGCCAGTACTTAAAGAGAAAGTTTTCAGCTTTTCCCAATCCAGTGGAAGTTTAGCTGGGGGTTTATTGTATATGCCCTTTATTATGTTGAGGTGTGTTCCTTCCATGCCTAGTTTTTTGAGAATTTTTATCATAAAGGGATATTGAATTTTATTAATTGCTTTTTCTGTATCTATTGAGATTATCATAGATTTTTGTCCTTCATTCTGTTAATGTTAGATATTATATTTATTGATTTGCATATGTTAAACCATCTTTGCATCACTGGGTTAAGTCCCAGTTGATCATTGTGTATTATCTTTATGATATGCTGTCTGATTCAGTTTGCTAGTATTTTGTTGAGAGTTTTTGTTTTTATGTTTATCAGGGATATTGGCTTATGATTTTCTTTTTTTTTTTAAATTGTACTTTAAATTTTAGGGTACATGTGCACAACGTGCAGGTTTGTTACACATGTATACATGCGCCATGTTGGTGTGCTGCACCCATTAACTCATCATTTACATTAGATATATCTCCTAATGCTATCCCTCCCCCCTCCCACCACCCCGCAACAGTCCCTGGTGTGTGATGTTCCCCTTCCTGTGTCTAAGTGTTCTCATTGTTCAGTTCCCACCTATGAGTGAGAACATGGGGTGTTTTGTTTTTTTGTCCTTGCGATAATTTGCTGAGAATGATGGTTTCCAGCTTCATCCATGTCCCTACAAAGGACATGAACTCATCATTTTTTATGGCTGCATAGGATTCCATGGGTATATGTGCCACATTTTCTTAATCCAGTCTATCAGTGTTGGACATTTGGGTTCGTTCCAAGTCTTTGCTATTGTGAATAGTGCTGCAATAAACATACATGTGCATATGTCTTTATAGCAGCCTGATTTATAATCCTTTGGGTATATACCCAGTATGGGATGGCTGGGTCAAATGGTATTTCTAGTTCTAGATCCCTGAGGAATCGCCACACTGACTTCCACAATGGTTGAACTAGTTTACATTCCCACTAACAGTGTAAAAGTGTTCCTATTTCTCCACATCCTCTCCAGCACCTGTTGTTTCCTGACTTTTTAATGATTGCCATTCTAACTGGTGTGAGATGGTATCTCATTGTGGTTTTGATTTGCATTTCTCTGATGACCAGTGATGATGAGCATTTTTTCATGTGTCTTTTGGCTGCATAAATGTCTTCTTTTGAGAAGTGTCTGTTCATATCCTTTGCCTACTTGTTGATGGGGTTGTTTGTTTTTTTTCTTGTAAATTTGTTTGAGTTCTTTGTAGATTCTGGATATTAGCTCTTTGTCAGATGAGTAGATTGCAAAAATTTTCTCCCATTCTGTAGGTTGCCTGTTCACTCTGATGATAGTTTCTTTTTCTGTGCAGAAGCTCTTTAGTTTAATTAGATCCCATTTGTCAATTTTGGCTTTTGTTGCCATTGCTTTTGGTGTTTTAGACATGAAGTCCTTGCCCATGCCTATGTCCTGAATGGTATTGCCTAGATTTTCTTCTAGGGTTTTTATGGTTTTAGGTCTAACAGTTAAGTCTTTAATCCATCTTGAATTATGATTTTCTTTTTTTATTGTGTCCTTGTCTGGTGTTGGTATCAGGGTAATGCTGGCTTCATAGAATGTCTTAGAGAAAATTTCCTCCTCTTCATTTTTTGGAGTAGTTTGAGGAGAACCAGTGTTAGTTTTCTCTGAATATTTTGTAGAATTTGACAATGATGCCATCTGGTCCTGGAGTTTTCTTTGTTGAAAGATTTTTATTTTCTGATTCAATCTCATTACTCATTATTGGTCTGTTCAGGTTTTCTAGTTCTTTCTGATTCAATCTTGGTAGGTTGTATGTGTCCAGGAAAATTCCATTCCTTCTAGGTTTTTCAGTTTGTTAGTGTATAGTTGTTCATCATAGTCTCTAATGATCTTTTGTCTTTCTGTTGTATCAACTGTAATATTTCCTTTTTCATTTCTAATTTTATTCATTTGAGTCTTCTCTCTTTTTTTCTTGGTTAATCTATCTAGCAGTTTATCAATTTTATCTTTTCAAAAAAACAACCCTCATTTCATTGTCCTTTCTATGCTTTATTCTCCATTTTCTTTAGTACTGCTCTGATTTTATTATTGCTTACTGTCTACTAATTTTGGCTTTGGATTGCTCTTGTTTTGTACTTCTTTCAAGTGCATCATTAGATTATTTTAAATGTGTCTACCTTTTTAAGGTAGGCACTTATTACGGTACTTTTGCTGTATCCCGTAGGTTTTGGTATGTTGTGTTTTTATTTTTATTTTTTTCAAGAAAATTTTTTATTTCCTCTTTAATTTCTTCCTTCACCAAGTGGTCATTTAGAAGCATGTTGCTTAATTTCCATGTATTTGTACAATTTTCCAAGTTCCTCTTGTCAATGAATTCTTGTTTTATTCTATTGTGGTCTGAGAAAATACTTGATATTATTGAGATTTTTAAAATTTTTTTGAGACTTATCTGTTATACTAATTCTCTGTGAGAATATTCTCTGTGCTGTTAAGAAGAATTTGTGTCCTGTAGCTGTTGGATAAAATATTCTGTACATGTCTATTAGGTTTATTTGGTCTAATGTGTAGTTTAAATCCAATGTTTCTTTGTTAATTTTCTGTCTAGATGATCTATCTAATGCTGAGAGTGAGATGTTGAAGTCTCCAACTATTATTGTATTGGAGTCTTTTATTTTAGACCTAATAATTAATATGCTTCGTATATCTGGGGGCATATGTTTATAATCATTATATCCTCTTGCTGAATTAATCTTTTTATCGTAATAAAATGATCTTTTTCTCTTTTTTACAGCTTTTGACATAAATTCTGTTTCATCTGATATAAGCATAGCTGCTCTTGCTCACATTTGGTTTCTATTTGCATGGATCTTTTTCTATCCCTTTACATTTAGTCTATGTGCATCTTTATAGGTGAGATGAGTTTCTTATAGCAAGCATATAGTTGGGTCATTTTTTATCCATTCAACCATTCCATATCTTTTAAGAGGAAAGTTTAATCTGCTTACATTTGAAGGTTATTACTAATATGTGTGGGCTTATTCTTGTCATTTTATTAATTGATTTATGGTTGTTTAGTATATCCTTTGTTTCTTTCTCTCTTATTGTTTATCATTGTGGTTTGGTAGTTTTCTGTAACATTTGAATTCTTTCTCTTCCTTCTTTGTGTGTTTTCTTTACTAGTGGGTTTTAACTTTCATGTATTTTCATAATGGCAGATATTGTCTTTTCACTTCCAGGTGTGGACTCCCTTAAGCATTTTTTGTAAGGCCCTTTTAGTGGTTTTGAATTCAATCAGATTTTTCTTGTCTGGTAAAGACTTTATTTCTCCTTCATTTATGAAGGATAGCTTTGCTGTGTATAGTACCTTGATTGACAGTATTTTTTTAATTTTTATTTTAGCACTATATAGAGATATATATATAGAGATATATTTAGATATATATCGATATACATCCCATTCTCTCCTGGCCTGAAAGATTTCTGTTGAGAAATCCACCATTAGTCTGATGGGTGTTCCCTTATAGGTGACTAGATGCTTTTCTCTTGCTATTCTTAGAATTCTCTTTGCCTTTGACTTCTGACAGTTTGACTATAATGTGCTGTGAAGAGATTTTTGAATTTTCTATCCCTTTCACATTCTCTTCACCTTCTGGGACACCTAAAATTTTTATATCAGGTCACATTTTCAGTCCCATATGTCACATAGGCTTTGTTCATTGTTTCTTATTCTTTGATTTTTATGTTTGTCTGGAGGTGTTATTTCAAAAGATCTGTCTTCAAGTTTTGAAATTTTTTCTTCTGCTTGATCTAGTCTATTGTTGAAGCTTTTCAATGTACTTTGTATTTTATTTTAAAATTCTCAAGTTCCACAATTTTTGTTTGGTTCTTTTTTATGATATCTAACTTTGCTTAATTTTTTATTCACATCCTGAATTGTTTTTATATATATTTTTTGTATTATCTTATATCTCACTGAGCATCTTTAGTGTCATTATCTTGAATCCTTTTCCTGGAATTATAAAATTTATTTTTCTTTGGAATCTGTTTCTGGAGAATTATTGTGTTGCTTTGAAGTTGTCATATTTCTTTCTTTTTCATGTTTCTTATGTCCTTATGTTGATATCTGCACATGTGGTATATCTTTTCTAATTTTTTGTGTTTGCCTTTGTAGGGGATGATGTTTTTCTGAAGATACAGTGTTGGTTAAGTAAGGCACTTGATTCTGAGTATGTCCGGAAATGCAGCCTCCATATCATTTATTTGACTGTAAGCAGCATCAGTGATGTTTGTTAGGGTGCTGTGGTTAGTGGAGGCTGTGAAATTTTGCTGGAGACAGGGCACCAGATGGGCCTGTACTCATGCCCACTGGTGGCAGTAGTGGGTCAATTATGCCAATGTTTTGGCCCTAAAGTAACATACACGGGCACTAGTGTTAGAGGGTCCAGTCGGGCTAGTTCTTGGGCCTCCAGGCAGCTCATTCAGGCATTGGTAGTGACAGTGATGGTCCAGGCAGGTGGGCATGTTCTTGGACCGATGAGCAGTGGATGTGGAATGGACAATGGCAGCGCAGTGGGAGAGCAACCCTCTGGCTTCTGAGTAGTTCATTCTGGTGTTTACAGTGGCTGTGACAGGCTGGGAAAGCCAGTCCCCAGGCTCACGGGTGGCCCATGTGGGTGGTATCAGCTGTACCAGTAGCAGCAGATTGGATGAGCCGAACTTCACGTCCCCAGGAGGAGTGCTTCAGTCCAACAGTGGTGGACTGAGCTGGGCATTCCCCAGGTCTCTGGATGGCATGCTTGGGCTGTAGGTAGGTGGATCTGGGCCAGGTAGACCTGTCTTCAGGCCCCCCAGCATTGCATGCATGTCCTGGCCATGGTAGGCAGTGGCGGTGTAATCTCCAGGACCCCAGCAGAATGCTTGAGTAGTGGCAGTGGCAACTGCACTGCATTCTGCTACTGGTGAGGGTGGGATTGCTTTCAATGGCAGGAGTTGGCTGAGAAGCATGCACTCTTTGCTCTTGTTTTGGCCTTAGCTGCAGCAGCCTGCAGTGGCAGCATCTGTAGGTAGGAGAGTTTGTCCTTGGGGCATGTAAAAATGTGCGCTGGTTTTGCTGCTGGGGAGCAGCAAGGCCATTGTCAATAGCTTGTGCTTTGGTTTTTATGGCAGCAGCCAGCCACAGCAGTGTCTTGAGTGAGAATGTCAGTAGAGGTCCAGGGATGTGGAGATGCAGGGATTATTGGACCCTCCAGGCAGGATGCAATCTGGTGTGGGCTGAGGTCTCAATATGGCACCTTGCTATAGCTACTTAGAACTCAGAGAGTGTGTGGGACCCAGTGTAAGTTCCCTCTCTGGAGCAGTGCTGTTGCATGGTCTCCAGGTACTGCTCTATGTTAGTCTCAGGACCTGGGAGGGCCCAGGGGCTTTCTTGGGGCTAGGATTGTAGGGGTCTACAGTGAAATTGTAGACTACTTGGGATCTCTCACTTACTCCTTCACATTGGGGAACCTCTCCAGCCTCCCAGCCAATCCTGGCTGAACAAGGTGCCTCACTTCCTTCTCCTTCCTTGCCGTAGGTGTTTTCTTGTCACTGCTCTGTGAAATTGCAGTGTTTTCTCTTAGATTATTTGAAGTATGATTATCTACTCACTATTTTGGTTTTTCTTTGGAAAGGAGATCAGTATCAGATTCCTCTAGTCAGTCATCTTGAAGCCTGTTCTAAGCATGCTCAACATTTTCTTCTTTCTTATCACAAAGTTTGAATCAAAGCCTCTTTATACTTAGAGACTAAATTTTTGTGAATCACTTTGGCCACAGACAGCAATATCAGCATCAGAGAGGATTGCTGCTTTTCCTATTTCCTCATCAGGAGTTTGGCCCTTTGGGGCCCTTTATGCTCAGTGGTGCAAGTTCAAGGAAAACCTAAATAAGCTGGAATTTCAAGTTCCTTTTAAAATTTATTGAAGGCCTGGGACATTTTTGTTTTGTTTTTTTTTGTAATTGCATACCAATGCAGAACATTAAAAATCTTTCCCTGGAAGCCTGATAGAAGATTTTGACAGATGATATTTGGCACTGGAGTGACATCTATGAAAATTCCAGGATCCTGTTTGACATAATAATTTCTACTGTCTTTAATTGTATCACTCTGTGTGTGACAGGGTTTGCAGTATAAAATAACTTTTAATGTCAATGTTTTATTCCAGCATAATCTTTTGGAAGATAGTTTGGCAATATTAAAAATGCACATTTAAATATTAAATACACGAGATGGTACCAGTGATCATAACGGACCTGCTAATTGGTCAACAAGCTCCCCTTATGTACTAGGATGTTCTCACATGGGCAGGTAATCACAACCGTGTCTCAACTCACTCCCTTGCTTGGTGGCTGCCAAAAATCTTTCGACATACGTTATAAGACACACCTGATTTTGTCAGAAATTTGGTCAAAACATGCATTTGAATTAGGGATTTTCAGAAATAGAGTGTACGTGCACTTTATATTATTTTACAAAAGTGATGTTTTAATAAGACATGCTATTTCAGTCAAGGGCAATTTATTGGGACTGTTTTTCAATGCCATTAACTACTGCTTTCAAACATAATATTTAAGGAGAGACTAATATTCATTTATAGTTGTGACATTTTAAAAATGCTTTATTATGGTTATATTAGTTGTTTATAATTCTAAGCTACTATAAATAACAGTGAAAGGTAGTTAAATCTTTCTGAATACCCAGAACCATTTCTCCGGATAAATATGCAGAAACAGAGTTCTGGGTTCAAAAGATATATATATATCTTTCTAAAGGATTTGAATGCAAAAGCTTAAGTGCTCTGCAGAAAAACCATATGCTGTCCTTCAGTCCTCAGAATGCATCATGCTACCTCCTGCCTCTGTCCGATTTTCATGGTGCTATTGGTTTTGGTACAACTAATTCCTGGCACTATTGATTCCTCGCAGATAAAGGGCTTTCGTGGGGAGACCACCACATGCTCTATCTTTGCAAATTAAGGTGGTGTGTGGCATTTGCCAGGATCTCCTCTGCTTACTTCTTGTATTACTATAGCCCCTTCTCCAGGAGGGAATTGTAAGAATTAACCAGAGGTCTGTTTCTTCCATCTGGCCCCATCTAGAAGCTAGCTAGCAAGAAATCTTCAAAGTCCATGGCATATGGGGAGCATTGATCTTTGGCTTTTAACTTCAAGATCATTTATCAATTGATCTCTTAATATCCTTTGGAAATTTGGGGATTTTAGAGAAGAATATTTCAACAAAAGTTTCAACAAAAAGTTTTTGGTGATTGTTGACTTGCTTTATTACAGTGTATGAATAAGAGAAGTGACATATCTATAGTAATATGGTTAAAATGAAATAACTGGAGACCTAGAAAATCAGTATTTATCCTTTTTCTAATAACATCTCTTAGGTCTTCCTTGAGCCTTTGTTAACTCATTTTTCCATGCACTGTCAGTGCCTAATCCTCAAGAACATACATGGTAACATTGGCAGGAAAGTGTTCCTGAAAAGGAAGTAAGTGTCCTGTACAAGGGCCAGTAAAGGAGACCAGATACACACTTCCAATGGACACCCCTCTCACAGATTCTCCCACAGAGCTGAACCTGGGTGGTAGTGGACCCTGAGGTCTGATATTTCCTGCTGCCTTTCCACCTTTATCTAAGGGAGGACATACGACCATGTGATATTCCATAGATGCTGCCCTTATCTTGCCCTCAAATGGCAATTTTATAAAATGCCAAATCAAGCCCTGCTAATAAAGCAAGAGATGAAATCCTACTGACATTATTACAGGGTTCTGGTCAGTTCCCACAAGGAAATCACTGGCAACACCATCACAAATAAAACCCCAAATTTCATTTTTTCAATTTTTCGATTTCAGAAAGGTCATGTTTATTGTCAGCAGATGCATTAGAGCTAAGTTCTCTTATTCTCTTAGTCACGTCTTTATCAAGTAGCACTGGATGAACATCAACTTTCAGTTATGATGAATAAATTGAAGTTCTAGAGATCTGGTTTACCACCTCAATGAATAAGATGAATAAGTTCTAAAAATCTGGTTTACAAGCTTGTTCCTATGGTTAACAATACTGTATTATGCATTTAAAGATGTGTTAAGTAGAAAGATCTCATGTTAAACATTTTTTTTTTTGTAAAAATGTAGTATTGGATGGTCTCATGGTATGATCACAGCTGCTTCTGCTTGCCTCAGTTAGTCTAGGCCAGGAGTTCTCCACCCAGGAGCATGTCCTGCAGAGATTTGTAAAAGTACTGGTTCTCTGGCCCCACATCCAGAGATCTGATTTGCTATAAGCAGGTGTAATCGTGCTTAAAACTCAGTCATGGGAATTAAAAGAACCAAAAAGAGAATGGTGTAGACACACGGAAAACTAATTAGATGTTAAATAAAACAGATATTCAATTTTTACATTCCCTTACCAAACCACATAGCAAGCCGTATTTGTGGAAATGTAAGCAATTTAATTTCATGCTTTGTGCCTTTTCCTCCTTTTCACCTTCCTCTTCCTCCCCTTCCTTCCTTTCCTCTTTTAATTCCTCCTCCCCTTCCTTTTCTTCCTTTTTCTTCTTCTTTCTCTTTTCATCTAATTGCCACAGGTTAGATGAAACTTTGCCCCCTTTTGGAAACCTTCCTTATGTTCCCAAAATGGTTAGGTGAACCTGCCTTTCTTCTTTCATATCACATTGACCATAGGGCTTTTATAAATTTCTTCTCCCTGTGTGTGTGCATGTTTATAATCCTCTTCATTCTAAGCAAGGTTTGAGTCTGCATGGTGTGTTTAATTATTCATTCACATTTTTGTGTTTTTACCTGGACTCAGTTCTGACTGCCAAGGTCCCTGGTTTATTAATCTTTGTATCCCCAGCACCTAACACTCAATAAATTCTCTGTAAATGCTACGGAATTAATTTGGAAGAAAATAGTGACTGCTTTTGTTTGTTTGTTTTTCAGCTAATACATAGTTTAGAACCTGTTTCTTCCTCTTTTGAGGCTTCCTGGGATTTTAATTGACCTAGGCACATTAATTTCAAAAAAGAAAGAAAAATAACTATATAGCTTCAATGTTCTAACCTTCAACATTAAGTTAATGTGCTCTAACATTGACTTAACAATTGCTATTGGGCTAACTGAAACAATCAGAAAGAACAAACAAAATGGTTATATATACTTGAGTTGAGAAACTTACATTTATATTTAAAATATCGAGGAAGATATTTCCCCCCAGAAAGCATTCTTTTATAGGAAATGTACACAGGATTGAAGTTCTTATACCCAGCCCTTTTCCTGAATTAGAGGGTAAAATTATTCATCACCATTAAACTGTTTATATAAAAATATAGAACTGTGTTTAACAGATGAACGTTTTTCTTCCTCATGTGGTTGTGAGAACACCAGATTGCCAGTCCATTCTTTTGACAGGTGTCTCTTGGAATGAGCCATTGAGAGGCCTGGCATGATTTGACGCCACTTTGACGGGACATTGTCTCTTACGCATAGTCGCTGAGCAAATTGGCTTAAGAATCTCCCTTAACAAATTCCAAGTCAGAGCGATTTGAGGCAGCACGTCAGTTTAGATTATTCTCTCCTGCAGCCTCCAGAGACAACATGGCTTCCCTATCAGCTCTCTGTAGACATGCTGCATGGTTAGCTTCAAATTTTAAAAAGTAAAGGAAGTGAATTTACTTTATTAAATTTCAAAAGGCAAAAGGATTTTCATAAGCATTCCTCATGGGAGCATTGGGTTACTTGAATCTAAATTCAACCTCTTCTGTTTACTAGCTACTGAACGTAAACAATGTACTTGATTTATTTAAACCCATATTTCTTCATCTGAAAAATGGGGATGATAATAGTATCTACCTCTTGGATCTACTGTGTGGAAGAAATGAGCTAATTCATATAAAGTTCTTAGGATGTTGCCTGGTCCATAATTAGGGCTCAATAATGCCAAATATCACTATTCCAAAGCCTTCCTTATCTTGTGGCAGTTGGGAATGATGACCTTTATAGTCATTTGAAGAATCATTTTGTATGTAAATCCATTACCACTTAGGCATAAAACAAAATGCATCTACATCCTAGCAGAGCCCCAGGCAATCTTAAGAGAATAAAAACAAATGTGCATTGAAATTCTTCCTACCTTGCCATTCTCAGCTTTATTATACATTTATAACATTTATAGAGGTATCACTTTTTATTACCAAAGTATATTTCTTATGAAAACTTGAAAAGCACAAAGAACCTTGAGTGTGCACATGATAGTAACTCCATGATCCAGATATAAACGCAGATAACATGAAGGTATTTATGTTACCCTTCTAGTATTTTGCGAATGCATAAAATGTATGCAAATAAAACATAATTAAGATTATGTTGTTCTTATTTTGATTTTTTATTTAATATTTACTTTGTAAAAATTTTTTCATATCTTTAAATATCCCTCTAAAACTCTAGCTACACGAGTTTATTTCAATAATCTATTGGCATTTATGTTATTTCTGTACTTTTTTGGAACCTCGTACTTTATTTTTAAAAACGGAATTATTTGGTCCTCAAAGATTAAGTCTTCTAAAAATTGAGAGATATATTAAGAAGTTGGGGTAGTCATTTATAACTTTAATTGTGTCATTCTTAATTGCCATGAGTTTATTTTATTTTCATTAGTAATACTTGGTCGATTGTCTCCTAAAAAGCAGATTGTATCACTAATGTCTAAACACCAAGCTAAAACTTCCTGAATTTTTTAAATTAACTAATTCAAAAAATATCTATCAAGCAATGACAGTGTGGTAGGCATAGTTTTCAGAAGTGGAGATGCAATAATTGTCAGTGTAGATAAAGCCTTTGCCTTGTGCAACTTACAGTCATTTAAGAAATAAGTTTAAATTTTCATATATAAATCTAAATTTAGAAATAATAATAGGGAAAGATTGATCTGAAATTTCTATTAGTGACAAAAGATTTTTTTAAAAATACATAAGGACATAATTATTATATTTAATACATCATAAATTAAATAAAAATTACATAATACATTATAAATTAAATAAAAATTACAAATTATAAATGATTTTCTTTCTCAGTAGACCCCCTCTTCCACCTGCAATTTCTTCACTGGTATATGTATGCTATTGTTTTTCCAGAAAACTCTGATATATTCTGTTAACTACTTCATGTCAGACCACACATAGTTTGTTTCATTTATGAACCATAGCTCTCTTTAGGAATTTTTTCTTTTCCAAGTTTCCATTTTTGTTTGCTTATTTATTTGTTTTTTAATTTTAAGTTCAAGGGTATATGTGCAGGATGTGCAGGTTTGTTACATAGGTAAACATGTGCCATGGTAGTTTGTGACACAGATCATTCCATCACCTAGGTGTCAAGCCCAGCATCCATTAGCTATTCTTCCTGATGCTCTCCCTCTTCCCCTGCTCACCCTTTGACAGGCCCCAGTGTGTGTTGTTCCACCCCGTGATCTTTTTCCTTTTTATGGCTGCATAGTAATCCATGGTGTAATATGTACTACATTTTCTTTATCCAGTCTATCATTGATGGGCATTTAGTTGATTCTGTGTCGTTGCTATTGTGAATAATGCTGCAATGAACATACACACATGCATGTATCTTTATGATAGAATAATTTATATTCCTTTGGGTATATGCCTAGTAATGGGATTGCTGGGTCAAATGATATTTTTGCTTCTAGGTCTTTGAGTAATTGCCACCCTGTCTTCTACAATGGTGAACTAATTTACTGACAGGGTAAAAGCGTTCCTTTTTCTCCACAACCTCGTCAGTGTCTGTTAAGTTTTTACTCCATTCTGACTGGTATGAGATGGTATCTCATTGTGGTTTTGATTTGCATTTATCTAATGATAAGTTTTTTTTCATATGTTTGTTGGCCCCATGTTTGTCTTCTTTTGAGAAGTGTCTCTTTATGTCGTTTGCCCATTTTTTAATGGGGTTGTTTGTTTTTTTCTTGTAGATTTGTTTAAGTTCCTTGTAGATGCTGGATATTAGACTTTTGTCATATGGATAGATTGCAAAAATTTTCTCCCATTCTTTAGGTTGTCTGTTCATGCCGATGATACTTTCTTTTGCTGTGCAGAAAGCTCTTTAGTTTAATTAGAACCCATTTGTCAATTTTTGCTTTTGTTGGAATTGCTTTTGTCATCTTCATCATGAAATCTTTGCCCATGCCTGTGTCCTGAATGCTATTGCCTAGATTTTCTTCTAGAGTTTTATAGTTTTTGGTTTTATATTTAAGTCTTTAATCCATCTTGTGTTGATTTTTGTATATGGTGTAAGAATGGGGTCCAGTTTTAATTTTCTGCATATGGCTAGCCCGTTTTCAGCACCATTTATTAAATAGGGAATCGTTTCCCCATTGCGTTTTTTGGTCAGGTTTGTCAAAGATCCAATGGTCATAGGTGTGTGGTGTTATTTCTGGGTTCTCTGTTTTGCACCATTGGTCTGTATGTGTCTGTTCTTGTACCGGTACCATGCTGTTTTGGTTACTGTAGCCCTGTAGTATAGCATGATGCCTCCAGCTGTGTTCTTTTTGCTTAGGATTGTCTTGGATATTTGTGCTCTTTTTTGGTTCCATATGAATTTTAAAATATTTTTTTCTAATTCTGTGAAGAATGTCAATGGTAGTTTAATGGGAATAACATTGAATATATAAATTACTTTGGGTAGTATGTCCATTTTCAACAATATTGATTCTTCCTATCCATGAGCATGGAATGTTTCTTCATTTTTCTGTCATGGCTGATTTGTTTGAGCAGTGGTTGTAGTTCTCGTTAAAGAGGTCCTTCACTTCCCTTGTTAGCTGTATTCCTAGGTAATTTATTCTTTCTGTGGCAATTATGAGTGGGAGTTCATTCATGATTTGGCTTTTGGCTTGCCTGTTGTTGGTGTATAGGAATGCTAGTAATTTTTGCACGTGATTTTGTATCCTGAGAGTTTGCTGAAGTTGCTTATCAGCTTAAGAAACTTTTGGGCTGAGATGATGGGGTTTTCTAAATATAGAATCATGTCATCTGCAAAAAAAGATAGTTTGACTTCTTCTCTTCCTATTTGAATACCTTTATTCTTGGCCAATTGCCCTGGCCAGAACTTCCAATACTATGTTGAATGGGAATGGTGAGAAGGGTATCCTTGTCTTGTACTGGTTTTCAAGGGGAATGCTTCCAGCTTTTTCCCATTCAATATGATATTGGCTGTTGGTTTGTCACATATGGCTCTTATTATTTTGAGATATTTCATTCAATACCTAGTTTATTGAGAGTTTTTAATGTGAAGGGATGTTCAACTTTATCAAAGGCCTTTTCTGCATCTATTGAGATAATCATGTGGTTTTTGTCTTTAGTTTTAGTCTACTCTGAATTATCACTAAACGTGCTTTCACACACATCTTTACAAAATAAATGAAATTAATGATCCTTAGAATAGTATGAGATTTTCATAAATACAAGCAAATTTATCTCTAAGTATTTTTAGTAGTTTATATTCAGAGCAGCAGAGTATAAGAATATCAATTTTTCTCACCTCTGCTAGCATTGAATATTAACATGTAAACGTTTTTGTGTGTCCTTACATATTAAAAAGATAAAACTTTATTTCCTGCTCTAATTTTCATTTAAAAAAATCTATTTTCAGTGGATAATTTGTTTCTGCAATTTTGACTTAAAATATATATTGAGTGCCTATTTGGTGCAAAATATATTGCCAACAAGATATGCCATTTTTTTATTCATTTATTTACTTATTTAGGTCTTGCTATTAAACATTATTTGTATTTTTCTTGTTGTGATTTCCAGTTTTTTGTTGCACTTTTTAATTAAAATATTTGTCTTTTCCTAAATGCTTTGTAAAAATCCTTATTACAGAATACCAACTCTTTGTCCCTCATACAGGCTAGCCTGCCATTATGCTTCTTGTTTTGTGTGCTTTTCAGTAATATTTATATGTTAATATTTTTATTTTTTAAATTACATGTTTTTAGAAAGTTAAACAATACAGAAAGCTAAATAGCACAAAAGAAATTCCCTGAATTCTCTATACCTAGAAATTTCCACTAAATTTTTTTAAATTTTAACTTAAAAATTTTATTTTTTATTTTTTGTAGAGATGGGGTCTTAATATGTTGCCCAGGCTGTTGCTGACCTTAAGGAGCTCCTGGCCCCAACTGATCCTCCTGCCTTGTCCTCCCAAAGTGCTGGAATTATGGGCATGATCCACCATGTGCAGCCTAGAAATATTTTACAAATATGTTTTATACACATTTACTTGTGTAACACATAGGTAAATTTAAATTTAAATTTAGATTACATTTTGCACTTAAATACTAGTCACTGATACTTTTTTATCGATAACTTTTCCCATTCTTGAGAACTTATTTTAAATCATCATTCCATTGCCTGAGATGCAAGGTTTAGTAATTTCTATATGGAGCATAGAATTGTGTATTTAACATAGTATTGTTGTTGTTTTCATATATAAATGACCTGTGTTGTTTACATAAATAAGATCATATATGTCATTTTTCAATATTTTCTAATAAATAACATGTTTTGTGAGTCTTTCCATTTCAAGAAACATAGATCTTCATCTTTCTTTATAATGACTGCATTGTAATATAGATCTATGTCATACTTTGCTTAGTTAATTCTTTAATAATGAATTTTAGGCTCTTTCTAATTTTTCACTACAATAAGCAACACTACCATAAATTCCCAGCACATTTTTTTTTGTACTGACCTGATTGCTTCACTGTTGAGCATATAATTAAAGCAATCCATAGAGACTTTGATCAAGATTGAAATTGATAACTTTACTGGGAATTAAAATTTTGAGGTTAAAGACTTTTTATGTGAATACAAGTATAATGTCACATTTTAAAAGTCTGTCAGTAAATTTCATATAGTTTTCTCTTCATAGCCCCATTTATATCATGTGTCCAAAGTATCATGGAGATAATTTTCCTTTTTATCTTTCTGAGCCAATTTTTAAAGTTGTATACATTTTATCATGTTGTATTAATAAAGAATATTAATGTACTAGGCCGGGCACAATGACTTACGCCTGTAATCCCAGCACTTTGGGAGGCCGAGGCAGGCGGATCATGAGGTCAGGAGATCAAGACCATCCTGGCTAACACGGTGAAACCCCGTCTCTACTAAAAGTACAAAAAAATTAGCCAGGCGTGGTTGCGGGTGCCTGTAGTCCCAGCTACTCGGGAGGCTGAGGCAGGAGAATGGCGTGAACCTGGGAGGCAGAGCTTGCAGTGAACCGAGATTGTGCCACTGCACTCCAGCCTGGGTGACACAGCGAGACTCCGTCTCAAAAAAAAAAAAAAAAAAAAATTAATGTCCTAATAACAAATGAAGAAATTATTACACATATTATTAAATTAAAATAAGTAATAATAGTAGCTAGTACCGTTATATTATCATTTTCAACATTGGAATTATATTTTCAAATTACTAACCAAAAAAAAAATTAGTGCATTTATTCTGACCTGCATCAACTGAATTAACAAAGTTACTTCTTCACATCTTTATTCTCTCAACTGTTGTTTTGTTGAGAGATATACAGTCTCAGATTTTTCATTTGTTTTTGTTTTTAATGTTTGTTATTATGTTAGTGTACTCTTTTTCAGGACTTACGGCATTTGGATTTTTAGTTGTAATTATATTTAAATTTAGATTACATTTTTCACTTAAGTACTAGTCACTGATACTCTTTTTTATTGATAACTTTTCCCATTCTTGAGAACTTATTTTAAATCATCATCCCATTGCCTGAGATGCAACGTTTAGTAATTTGTATATGAAGCATAGAATTGTGTATTTAACATTATATTGCTGTTGTTTTCATATATAAATGACAATTTGACTGGGTAAAGCACTTTCTAGCCACAGACCTTTTTTATTCTCAAAACCCTATAGATACATTTTTTTACTCCTTCCTTTTTTTTTAAATTATACTTTAAGTTCTAGGGTACATGTATACAAAGTGCAGATTTGTTACATAGGTATACATGTGCCATGTTGGTTTGCTGCACCCATCAACTCATCATTTACATTAGGTATTTCCTTATTTTTAATGATGTAAATTGACTGAGGATGATCTAGTATTTCTTCTTTTAATAAAACTGTTTTTTGTGGTATAGAGGGAGGGACCACGGGGCTCAGTGCTCTTCAATGCTTATAAGTTGGGTTTTTTAAATAAAATAATAATAATTATTAATTACTAATAATAAATTATCATAATTATATAAGTAACATGTAATCAATAATAACATTTTATAATTAACAATTATTGGCTATAATTATCATATAATTGATTAGATTAATTATAATAATTATTATTTAACATATATATTTGTATGAGCCCTGCTTATTTAATTTTTCTGGGACTACTGCAAGCCATTTTAACTTTGCAAATTTATCTTCACATCAGAAAATCTTTCTTCCAATACATCTTAGATCATTTTCTTGTTTTCCTTTTGCTATCTCTTCTTCATGACTCCTAATGTTGTATATATACATTGATGCCGTTTGCCGTATATATATATAATCTCTTCTCATATTATTTTTACCTCTCTCAAATTTATATTCCACATCATTTCTGTAATTTTACTTGGTATAGGTTTTTCTTTATTCATGTGTGTGTTATTTAAAATTCTATTTTTAAGTTATAATTAGTTCACCTTCCTTAACTACAGTCATCTTCCTTTTTATTTTATTGTCATTGGTATGAATTCTTTTTCAATCTTTTTTATTAGAGTTAATATTATATTTAGTTTTACAGTTTTATTGATTGCACAGAACAGGATCTATTTATTCTAGATTTTTTAGTTTTGTTTAGGTTTGCTGGGTGGTTGGTTGGCTTGTTGTAAAACCTTTCCAGAAGAACATATATGCACACTGAAGCTTTCCCCTTTTTCATTATAGTAATTTTTGAGAGACAATAAACTCCATGCTATACATTCCTTCCACTCATTCTTGCACAAAAACTCTAGGTAGGCCTTGCATTCATGGGAAAACTATGTAGATGGATTCTCTTCGGTCACGCTCACTCTCCTCCTAAATGCTGCCAGGATTTTCTTGAAGCTTATGTGTGAGAGTTTCCCACTATAGCACAAAGTAGCCATACGATGGATTAAGCACCCTATAGGAAGCGGGGTGTGTGTAGGGGGACAATGAAAGAACTTGTTTTTTATGCTTTCTCCTCTGAATATGATAAAGCTGTAGCCAAGAGGAAGTTTTCCCACCTCGTTTCCCCTAGTCCAGTTTCAGCTAAGGGAACAGCTTGAAGCTAAGCTCCCCCTTCCTCCTGGCTCTATTTCCTTTTCGCTAGGCTGAACTTCAGATGCCTACGTGCATTTTCTTTTCTTTAATTTTTAATTTTTATGGGTACATAGTAGGTGTATACATAGGATAAATGAGATTTTTAAAGCAGGCATACAATGTGTAATAACACATCAAGGTAAATGGGGTATCCATCATTTTTAAATAACTAAAATAGTATATTTGGAATGTTTGTAACACAAATAAATGATAAATGCTTGAGGTAATGGATACTCTATTTACCCTGATGTGATTATTACCTGCATTTTCTTCAAGTGACATTTCCTAACCCTGAGAGAACAAATACAGATGCTTCGGAACAATCAAAGAACTTTTCAGTAAAAGTGTTCCAGTACCTCATTTGACTCATGAATCACCTTGGTCCTTAGACCTCACTCTGAAAAATGAAAAATGTTAATATGTGTTTGCTTAATTTATTCTACTTAAATCTGTGTCATTATCCAACATGCTTTCATAGAAAATAAATGTACCAAAATCATCTGTCATCCTTATATTTAATAAAGTAGTGCCTTATGAACAGTGGAAGCCTCCTTTCAGAATTTCTCTTAGACATGGATATGTACTCTTTTGTAATAAAATGGAGCCCATGGTCAAATTATGAAGTATCAGGCTGGAGGCAGAATGCTTTATTTGAACCCAGGGGCAAATTTACAACAGGTATTTTGGTAGGTGTTAAACAGAAAAGCTTCAGCATGACGGTTGTCTGCTGTCACGGAACAGAGTCTAGTAGGAAATAAAGATAAATAACTAATTAATTAAAGTTCTATGTGATAAATGGTAAGGTAGGGAAAGCTTATTCAGTTATACTATTTAAAAGTTCCTGCTGTCTAAGGCTCAACATAGGTAGTGATGGATATCTTAATTAATTTGATTGTGGTAATCATTTAACAATTTATATGTATATAACATCACTACATTGTACAACTTGAATATATACAATCTTGTAAAAGTTTTTCTTTACATTTTTAACATAAGTAAATATTTTGTAAATGTAGGAAAAGTTTATAGTGCGATGACAGCATAGCATAGAAGTGTTAGAGAACACAGTGTTCTGTGTGTTAGTGTAAGAGAACATAGAGAAGTTTATAGTGCATAGAGAATATATCATGTAATTCAGATTTGTGACATCAAAAGCAGTTTCACAGTTTCAGATCTGATGAGTCAAAGGTAGTCAAGTTGAGTGGAGTAAGGCTGTTTTAGGATGTGACAAACAGGCCTTGCAAGGTCTTACCACAGGGTTCTGAGATTCTTTGTAGTAATTATCCCTTCATATGCAAATGTTGGACATAATAAAGAACATATTCTTAGGAGTCTTGGGCCATTCCATCACAAGAGAAAATGTATGAAGCTCCTAAATTTTTTTTTCCTTATATATATGTTTATTATACTTTAAGTTCTAGGGTACATGTGCACAACGCGCAGGTTTGTTACATATGTATACATGTGCCATGTTGGTGTGCTGCACCCATTAACTTGTCATTTACATTAGGTATATCTCCTAATGCTATCCCTCCCCACTCCCCCCACCCCACAACAGGCCCCAGTGTGTGATGTTCGCCTTCCTGTGTCCAAGTGTTCTCATTGTTTAATTCCCACCTATGAGTGAGAACATGCGGTGTTTGGTTTTGTGTCCTTGTGACAGTTTGCTGCGAATGATGGTTTCCAGCTTCATCCATATCCCTATAAACGACATGAACTCATCCTATTTTATGGCTGCATAGTATTCCATGGTGTATATGTGCCACGTTTTCTTAATCCAGTCTATCGTTGTTGGACATTTGGGTTCGTTCCAAGTCTTTGCTATTGTGAATAGTGCCACAATAAACATATGTGTGCATGTGTCTTTATAGCAGCATGATTTATAATCCTTTGGGTATATATCCAGTATGGGATGGCTGGGTCAAATGGTATTTCTAGTTCTAGACCCCTGAGGAATCGCCACACTGACTTCCACAATGGTTGAACTAGTTTAAAGTCCCACCAAGAGTGTAAAACTGTTCCTATTTCTCCACATCCTCTCCAGCACCTGTTATTTCCTGACTTTTTAATGACCACCATTCTAACTGGTGTGAGATGGTATCTCATTGTGGTTTCGATTTGCATTTCTCTGATGGCCAGTGATGATGAGCATTTTTTCATGTGTCTTTTGGCTGCATAAATGTCTTCTTGTGAGAAGTGTCTGTTCATATCCTTTGCCCACTTGTTGATGGGGTTGTTTTTTTCTTGTAAATTGGTTTGAGTTCTTTGTAGATTCTGGATATTAGCTCTTTGTCAGATGAGTAGGTTGTGAATATTTTCTCCCCTTCTGTAGGTGGCCTGTTCACTCTGATGGTAGTTTCTTTTGCTGTGCAGAAGCTCTTTAGTTTAATTAGATCCCATTTGTCAATTTTGGCTTTTGTTGCCATTGCTTTTGGTGTTTTAGGCATGAAGTCCTTGCCCATGCCTATGTCCTGAATGGTATTGCCTAGATTTTCTTCTAGGGTTTTTATGGTTTTAGGTCTAACATTTAAGTCTTTAATCCATCTTGAATTAATTTTTGTATAAGGTGTTAGGAAGGGATCCAGTTTCAGCTCTCTACATATGGCTAGCCAGTTTCCCCAGCACCATTTGTTAAATAGGGAATCCTTTCCCCATTTCTTGTTTTTCTCAGGTTTGTCAAAGATCGGATAGTTGTAGATGTGTGGTATTATTTCTGAGGGCTCTGTTCTGTTCCATTGTTCTGTATCTCTGTTTCAGTACCAGTACCATGCTGTTTTGGTTACTGTAGCCTTGTAGTATAGTTTGAAGTCAGGTAGCGTGATGCCCCCAGCTTTGTTCTTTTGGCTTAGGATTGACGTGGCAATGCAGGCTCTTTTTTGGTTCCATATGAACTTTAAAGTAGTTTTTTCCAGTTCTGTGAAGAAAGTCATTTGTAGCTTGATGGGGATGGCATTGAATCTATAAATTACCTTGGGCAGTATGGCCATTTTCATGATATTGATTCTTCCTATCCATGAGCATGGAGTGTTCTTCCACTTGTTTGTATCCTCTTTTATTTCATTGAGCAGTGGTTTGTAGTTCTCCTTGAAGAGATCCTTCACATCCCTTATAAATTGGATTCCTAGGTATTTTATTCTCTTTGAAGCAGGTGTGAATGGGAGTTCAGTCATGATTTGGCTCTCTGTTTGTCTGTTCTTGGTGTGTAAGAATGCTTGTGATTTTTGCACATTGATTTTGTATCCTGAGACTTTGCTGAATTTGCTTATCAGCTTAAGGAGATTTTGGGCTGAGACAATGGGGTTTTCTAGATATACAATCATGTCATGTGCAAACAGGGACAATTTGACTTCGTCTTTTCCTAACTGAATACCCTTTATTTCTTTCTCTTGCCTGATTGCCCTGGCCAGAACTTCCAACACTATGTTGAATAGGAGTGGTGGGAGAGGGCATTCCTGTCTTGTGCCAGTTTTCAAAGGGAATGCTTCCAGTTTTTGCCCATTCAGTATGATATTGGCTGTGGGTATGTCATAGATAGCTCTTATTATTTTGAGATACGTCCCATTAATACCTAATTTATTGAGTGTTTTTAGCATGAAGGTTGTTGAATTTTGTCAAAGGCCTTTTCTGCATCTATTGAGATAATCATGCGGTTTTCGTCATTGGTTCTGTTTATATGCTGGATTACGTTTATTGATTTGCGTATGTTGAACCAGCCTTGCATCCCAGAAATGAAGCCCACTTGATCATGGTGGATAAGCTTTTTCAGGTGCTGCTGGATTCGGTTTGCCAGTATTTTACTGAGGATTTTTGCATCGATGTTCATCAGGGATATTGGCCTGAAATTCTCTTTTTTTGTCGTGTCTTTGCCAGGTTTTGATATCAGGATGATGCTGGCCTCACAAAATGAGGTAAGGAGGAGTCTGTCTTTTCCTATTATTTGGAATAGTTTCAAAAAAAATGGTACCAGCTCCTCCTTTACCTCTAGTAGAATTTGGCTGTGAATCCATCTGGTCCTGAACTTTTTTTGGTTGGTAGGCTATTAGTTATTGCCTGAATTTCAGAGCCTGTTATTGGTCTATTCAGAGATTCAACTTCTTCCTGGTTTAGTCTTGGGAGGGTGTATCTGTCGAGGAATTTATCCATTTCTTCTAAATTTTCTAGTTTATTTGCATAGAGGTGCTTATAGTATTCTGTGATGGTAGTTTGTATTTCTGTGGGATCAGTGGTGATCTCCCCTTTATCATTTTTTATTGCGTCTATTTGATTCTTCTCTCTTTTCTTCTTTATGAGTCTTGCTAGCAGTCTATCAATTTTGTTGATCTTTTCAAAAAACCAGCTCCTGGATTCATTGATTTTTTTGAAGGGTTTTTTGTGTCTCTATCTCCTTCAATTCTGCCCTGATCTTAGTTATTTCTTGCCTTCTGCTAGCTTTTGAATGTGTTTGCTCTTGCTTCTCTAGTTCCTTTAATGGTGATGTTAGGGTGTTAATTTTAGATCTTTCCTGCTTTCTCTTGTGGGCATTTAGTGCTATAAATTTCCCTCTACACACTGCTTTAAATGTGTCCTAGAGATTCTGGTATGTTGTGTCTTTGTTCCTGTTGGTTTCAAAGAACATCTTTATTTCTGCCTTCATTTTGTTATGTACCCAGTAGTCATTCAGGAGCAGGTTGTTCAGTTTCCATGTAGCCGAGCGGTTTTGAGTGAATTTCTTAATCCTGAGTTCTAGTTTGATTGCACTGTGGTCTGAGAGACAGTTTGTTATAATTTCTGTTCTTTTACATTTGCTGAGGAGTGCTTTACTTCCACCTATGTGGTCAATTTTGGAATAAGTGTGATGTGGTGCTGAGAAGAATGTATATTCTGTTCATTTGGAGTGGAGAGTTCTGTAGATGTCTATTAGGTCTGCTTGGTGCAGAGCTGAGTTCAATTCCTGGATATCCTTGTTAACTTTTTGTCTCGTTCATCTGTCTAATGTTGACAGTGGGGTGTTAAAGTCTCCCATTATTATTATGTGGGAGTCTAAGTCTCTTTGTAGGTCTCTAAGGACTTGCTTTATGAATCTGGGTGCTCCTGTATTGGGTGCATATATATTTAGGATAGTTAGCTCTTCTTGTTGTATTGATCCCTTTACCATTATGTAATGGCCTTCTTTGTCTCTTTTGATCTTTGTTGTTTTAAAGTCTGTTTTATCAGAGACTAGGATTGCAATCCCTGCCTTTTTTTGTTTTCCATTTGCTTGGTAGATCGTCCTCCATTCCTTTATTTTGAGCCTATGTGTGTCTCTGCATATGAGATGGGTTTCCTGAATACAGCACACTGATGGGTCTTGCCTCTTTATCCAATTTGCCAGTCTTTGTCTTTTAATTGGGGCATTTAGGCATTTACTTTTAAGGTTAATATTGTTATGTGTGAATTTGATCCTGTCATTATGATGTTAGCTGGTTATTTTACTCGTTAGTTGATGCAGTTTCTTCCTAGCATCAATGGTCTTTGCAATTTGGCATGATTTTGCAGTGGCTGGTACCGGTTGTTCCTTTCCACGTTTAGTGCTTCCTTCAGGAGCTCTTTTAGGGCAGGCCTGGTGGTGACAAAATCTCTCAGCATTTGTTTGTCTGTAAAGGATTTTATTTCTCCTTCACTTATGAAGCTTAGTTTGGCTGGATATGAAATTCTGGGTTGAAAAGTCTTTTCTTTAAGAATGTTGAATATTGGCCCCCACTCTCTTCTGGCTTGTAGTGTTTCTGCTGAGAGATCAGCTGTTAGTCTGATGGGCTTCCCTTTGTGGGTAACCCAACCTTTCTCTCTGGCTGCCCTTACATTTTTTCCTTCATTTCAACTTTGGTGAATCTGACAATTATGTGTCTTGGAGTCGCTCTTCTCGAGGAGTATCTTTGTGGCATTCTCTGTATTTCCTGAATTTGAATGTTGGCCTGCCTTGCTAGGTTGGGGAAGTTTCCCTGGATAATATCCTGCAGAGTGTTTTCCAACTTGGTTCCATTCTCCCTGCCACTTTCAGGTACACCAATCAGACATAGATTTAGTCTTTTCACATAGTCCCATATTTCTTGCAGGCTTTGTTCGTTTCTTTTTATTCTTTTTTCTCTAAACTTCTCTTCTCGCTTCATTTCATTCATTTGATCTTCCATCACTGATACCCTTTCTTCCAGCTGATCAAATTGGCTACTGAAGTTTATGCATTCATCACCTAGTTCTCGTGCCATGGTTTCCAGCTCCATCAGTTCATTTAAGGCCTTCTCTACATTGGTTATTCTAGTTAGCCATTTGTCTAATCTTTTTTCAAGGTTTTTAACTTCTTTGCCATGGGTTCGAACTTCCTCCTTTAGCTCAGAGAAGTTTGATCATCTGAAGCCTTCTTCTCTCAACTGGTCAAAGTAATTCTCCGTCCAGCTTTGTTCCATTGCTGGTGAGGAGCTGCGTTCCTTTGGAGGAGGAGAAGCACTCTGATTTGTAGAATTTTCAGTTTTTCTGCTCTGTTTTTTCCCCATCTGTGTGGTTTTATCTACCTTTGGTCTTTGATGATGGTGATGTACAGATGGGGTTTTGGTGTGGATGTGCTTTCTGTTTGTTGTTTCCTTCTAACAGTCAGGACCCTCAGCTGTAGGTCGCTTGGAGTTTGCTGGAGGTCCACTCCAGACCCTGTCTGCCTCAGCAGCGGAGGCTGCAGAACAGCGAATATTGCTGAACCGCAAATGTTACTGTCTGATCGTTCCTCTGGAAGTTTCGTCTCAGAGGGGTACCTGGCCATATGAACTGTCAGTCTGCCCCTACTTGGGGGTGCCTCCCAGTTAGGCTACTCGGGGATCAGGGACCCACTTGCGGAGGCAGTCTGTCTGTTCTCAGATCTCAAACTCTGTGCTGGGAGAACCACTAGTCTCTTCAAAGCTGTCAGACAGGGACATTTAAGTCTGCAGAGGTTTCTGCTGCCTTTTGTTCGGCTATGCCCTGCCCCTAGAGGCGGAGTCTACAGAGGCAGGCAGGCCTCCTTGAGCTGCGGTGGACTCCACCCAGTTCGATCTTCTTGGCTGCTTTGTTTACCTACTCAAGCCTCTGCAATGGTGGGTGCCCCTCCCCCAGCCTTGCTGCCGCCTTGCAGTTGGATCTCAAACTGCTGTGCTAGCAATGAGCGAGGCTCTGTGGGCATGGGACCCTCTGAGCCAGGTGTGGGATATAATCTCCTGATGTGCCGTTTGCTAAGACCATTGGAAAAGTGCCGTATTAGGGTGGGAGTGACCCGATTTTCCAGGTGCCGTCTGTCACCACTTTGCTTGGCTAGGAAAGGGAATTCCCTGACCCCTTGCACTTACCGGGTTAGGTGATGCCTCGCCCTGCTTTGGCTCAAGCTCGGTGCACTGCACCCACTGTCTGACAAGCCCCAGTGAGATGAACCTGGTACCTCAGTTGGAAATGCGGAAATCACCCGTCGTCCTTGTCGCTCACACTGGGAGCTATAGACTGGAGCTGTTCCTATTTGGCCATCTTGGAACCCAACCGAAGCTCTTAAATTTTTATTATTTTTTTCTCTTCTGGAACTTCCATTAAATTCTTTTTTTATGTGATTCAGGTATCTGATGAAATACTAAACTATGTCATATAATTTCTTAGACATGCTAATAATGGTTATTTTAAAATCAATCAAAGTCTTCTGTGGATATGTTTCTATTTTCTCTTGGTTTTTTGCCAATTGTTCTTTTCTCCTGGCATGCCGGGTAATTTTCCCGTAAATGCTGAGCACTATAAATTTCAGAAAATTACAGCGATAATTTAAGCTCTGGGTGAGATCATCTTTGCTTGAGAAGTTGTGTTTTGTTTCTATCAGGCAGTTAGCTAGTGGCAGGTAATCTTAATCCGGTCTGGGATTGAGCTGATTTAAAGCTTGGTTTCATTCTTGATGGGTGCTAGTCTATTTCTAGTTTATCTACATTCCTGTGGATTCCCCTTTGTTTGCCTCAGCTGAAAGCCTGTACTGTTTTCTATGGTTTCTTCTAGTTGACCTTCCCAAAACTCCAATTTTTGCTTTCTCTGCTCTGTGAGATTGCCAACAGTTACTGCTCAGTGTCTTAGTATCTAGATTACCACTTATAAATTGGCATATATTATAAAGGGAAAAACGTAGGTGAATATCAAGTTTAACTTAACACATGCTTTAAGCACTTTCAAACATGCAGATTGTAATATTCTCTATCCAACTTTTCTAGTGGGTTTTAGTAGTAGTGTTACTGGTGAAGGAAAAGTCACAGTCTCTTCCCCTTATGGTTTTTCAATTAACATTGATTCAATTAAGTATTAACTTATTGTTCTTTTTCTATGGGGCATTACACAGTGGAAGTCCAGGATCCCCTCATTCTGTTTACTTGAACTGTTGGTTTGGATTCTACTATGTCCTCATCCCCATATTCCTGATTAACGCTATGAGCTATAATGCCAAAGAGTGAATAGATGGAGATATCCCTGTCTTAAATTTATTCTGGTCTTTTGAGCTCAAATTGGGAGGGATGTACTACAGCATCACCCTGCTACTTTCTCTGCCTATATGAAGTGAGAACTGAACTCTTCAAAAATAATTTAAACTATCAGAAAATTTAAAAATTTCAGATGATTATGCACATATCCATTAAATGATATAGATTTTACTAAGTCTGTTTTTGCCACTATGGTTTCCCCAGCATCTAGATACAGAAATCTATCAATAAGGAGGTGTTGAATGAATGAGTAATAACAAAGCATAATAACCTATTGCTATAGTCATGTTGAATTAGTTACTGTGCTCATAAAGTATTCATTAGTTATTGTTTATAATGTTAGCTAACCCTACAGTGGAAAAGTGTGTCACTTTAAGAACTTTCCAGTTGGGTACACTATCAAAATAGGAATGCCTTTAAAACTCAGTTTGGTACACTCAAGCAGGGGCTTTATGTAAAACTTGCTCCACGTTAAAGTGCTGATCATTTCTTAGCCTAGCATGAATTCCTGTATTCAATTCCACAGGTAACATCTTCTTCCTCTTGGAATTCTTCTTTATCAAGTGTCAAGTAATGGATGGTTCACTGGACAGGGAGTCAGGGGAGCTGGGTTTGACTCTTGGCTCTGCCACTTACAAGGCTGTGTGTCACAGGAGAACCTCACATAATTCTCTAAGCCTCTTTTGTTACTTCCACTCTGAACATCATAGAACAACAGGACTGATTCAAGAATTTTTGTGTCTTTTCCTCCTAGTGTGCGTCATGTTATAGGCACTCATTAAACATTAGTTCCCTTTTTTAGTGCAAGTAAAGGAATATTTTACTTTATTTTTCTTTATATAGCTTGAGCAAATTTATGTTAGGCTATGAAGAAAGTAAAACTCTATAAATGTAAACAGGGATGGGCAGCTTTTATTATATTCATAATGAAAAAGCATGTACTACCCAGTTCTTTAAGTACCAAGAAATGTGCTTGCCCTGTTTACAATATATTTTTATTGTAAATAGCTTACTTCTCATTCTCCCAATACAGACTGTTCTCTTATTTGTTCCAGAAATTCCATGATGTTGCCAGTCAATAGACATGTCCCTATACCCTGTAACAGGTGTAAACTGCTCCCTACACCAAAACTAAAGATATTCATGAAAACAAATAACTTGCAGCTACACATTATTGTTAGGTCCTGAGATAAGCAGTTGTTCTCAGACATCTCTGGACATTAAAGTAGATATAAATATTCCCAGCTCTAGAAAGGGCAGGAACATAGCCAATGGTACCTCCCTTCAGCAATCTGCAGGATCACCATTTCCATCTCCCTAATCTGCCCTGTTGTCTACCTTGCTCTTTTTTTTTTTTTTTTTTAAGCGGAGTCTCACTGCGTCGCCCAGGCTGGAGTGCAGTGGCCTGATCTCAGCTCACTGCAACCGCCTGCTGGGTTTAAGCGATTCTCCTGTCTCATCCTCCTGAGTAGCTTGGATTACAGGTGCCCGCCACCACACCAGGCTAATTTTTGTATTTTTAGTAGAGATGGGGTTCTACCATGTTGGCCAGGCTGGTCTTGAACTCCTGACCTCAGGTGATCTGCCTGCCTCAGCCTCCCAAAGTGCTGGGATTACAGGCATGAGCCACCATGCCTGGCCTACCTTGTTCTTTTAAAGCAATGACTCTGCATCCAAAAATGAAGCATGGGAGGGTTTTTTCTACTTTATCAATGTCTTTATTAAGTTGCACTAGGTTTTGAATAGCTTTCCCTTTATACCACACATCTTTTCTCTCTATTATTTACAAATCCTTGAATTGTTCATTCATATGTGTGGAACCTTGAAAAGGGATATTGCTGGTATAATATCGACTGGTCAGGAGTGTTGGGATGAGTGTTTTGGGACAGTCTCCAGACTGTAAATGTGTGTTGATTTACAGCAGGTTATCAGGATATCAGGGTCATGGGATACTAGCACCAAAACCAAGAACTACAAGGAGCTTCCCCTGTCAGGCATACGTTATTCACTATTGAAAGTCAGGAAATATTTTAGATTACAAGGAAATTATTCTTAATATTTTTTGGCAAGGATTCCTTTGAAATTCTGAGGATATATGTGACTCCTTTCACAAAGAAAACATGCATATTCAATATTTCATACTCCAAATCAAGAAGTAGAATTCTTGATCTGAGACATTTAAAGGGCCATGATTCCCAGGACAAAGGCTGTGGCGGACTTTTAATTGCCACCTCATAACTTTATTTTTGAAAATTAGAACACAAGAGCCAGAGAGAAATCCCCAGCGGCAGCATGGTCTGGTGGACTGAGCACTGGCCTTGGAGTCAAACAGGCAAGTGTTTCATTTCTAGAACAGTAAGTTTTCAGTTGAGTGACTTACCTTAATCATTTTTACAAATGAGAAAACTAGACTCAAAGAATTTAAGTAATGTGTCAGAGTTTGTGAAGAGTAAATTATGAACCCATATCTGTCAGGCTGCAAATTTATATTCTTTCTAGTATGTTGTATTGATCAGCAAAACAGGAAAGCTAAAAATGACATTTTTTTCTTATTAGCTCTAAACCCATAAGTCTGTCATTTGCAAGCTTATGGCAGATGGAGAACATTGAGGCCAGGGGAAGCATTTAGAAGACTGCTTGATATCCAAGCAGAGTGAGTCCCGGACTCTGGCATAAGAAGCACCAGAAGTTTGGAGCAAGTAATTCTTAAGCAGAAGAAAGAACATTAGGCTTACATTAAGTAGTGCTTGATGGGAATAAGTATTGTGATATTATTTCTTCAAATTTGTCTGTAGTAATACTGGTTGAGTATCCCTTATTTGAAATTTTTGGCACTAGAAGTGTTTTGAACTTTGGATTTTTTTTTTTTTCAGATTTAGGGATATCTGCATTATATTCAGCAGCCCTAATCTGAAAATCCAAAATTGAAAATGTTCAAAACTCTGAAACCTTCTGATATGATGCTCAAAGAAAATGCTCATTTAAGCATTTCAGATTTTGGATTTTCCGATTAGGGATACTCAATCTATTCAAATCACTTTATTTTATATTCAATTAATGTTGATACATAGCTGTTTCAGCAATGCAGTCTGCTTTTAAAAAGTTATCTTAAAATGATCTAATAAAAAATAGGCAAGTGTATTTCTTATGTATAGACTACTACTTTAAAATGACCAAAGAAAAAATAGGTTTCTGTGTTTCTGAAGAATAATTGCTGGATTTATAATAACTGAGCTTAGCTCCTAGCTCTCTCAATTATTAGTTAGATGACCTTAGGCATGTAACTGAACTATGGTTCAACTTCCTTACATATGAAATAGAGATGATAATATTTCCCACACATAATGCTTATTTGGCAATTAGGTGAAATAATGTAGAAGGATGACTGATGAATTAGAACATGAAAATTATGCTAGAGGTTTCAACATATAATAGAGGTTGATTCAGAATGTCAACTTGGAGCCCATTTTCTATGTCTTTGTAAAACAGCTTTTCTATCTTGATGTGCACAGTTCTGGACAGAGGGTATACCAATTTGCATTTGGAGCCCAGGGTCCTCCTGGAAGGGAAGAAACTGAGACACTAAGATTAAAGTTAGGAAGAATGTATTGAGGCAGGACAGTGTGATGCTAACCAATGCTAAGCAGCAGGTAAGGACAACAGAGTCCCTGAACTAAAATTTTACTTGGTATCAGAAAATACTGTCTTGTAGACTGGCTTAGCACTAAATCTGAGAAGAGGCAGGAGTATCAGAAATAGAGAGGAAAAAGAGAGCCCACCCAACCCAGCTGTCTTGAAACAGGCTTCATTTTGGGAAGGTGGCCGTGTGAGTAACATACAAGCATTATCCTCCAGAGATCAGCCAACTTGGCATGGAATCTTCTCTGCTACGGAGTGGACCATCTTATCTCTGGAAGTTCCTGCAGCAGAGCAGGAACGTGTACTAGCACTTGTGGAGAGGAAAAGTGGGAGCTCAGGTTCAAACATATGGCCTTGAGTATGACCCTGATCCCGGGGAACAGTGCTTCCTTGCTTCCTCTTGGTAGGAGGAGCTCTGCCACAGAGATAATTATGCAGGCAACACTTTTCCATTGCAGAGAAAAGTTCCTCTCTGAGACCTCAGAAGATGATTTATAGATGTATAGCCTTTAAGGAAACCCAGGTAGCTTCAATCGCAACAACAATCAGTTGCAGCCGGAACATTTGTTGAGCACAGCATGCTGTGTTCATATTATCTTATTTAATCTTTAAAACAACCTTAGGAAACTGGCACTATCTTCCCATTTTACATATAAGAACACTGAGACTCAGCAAGGTTAAAAAATGTGCCTGGCTAATAAACAGTGGATCCCAGATCAGAAATCAGGTCTGTCTGATTCTAAGCCTCACACTAAACTCATATTCTACTTCCTTGAAATCACTTCTTGACACAGTTTTTGACTTTCTGACAGGCCAATATTTGCACTGCAGCTATTCTTATGGAGTAGTTCTGCAAGAAAAAACTGTTTGCAACGGGCTATTGCAGAACTCACATCCCTGGAGGCTTCAGCTTCAAATTATATTCCAGGTTTTCAAAATCTATTAGGTTTAAAAACAGCCTGGGCTTTTTCTCCCATCCATGTTTAGGATGGCATACGTTAACTGAATATTCTAACACATTTGCAAATGCAATCACCCAGGCGGTATATTACTGGAGCAGCATACCCAGACAGCTATGCAAATGAAAAATACCTCTACTTTTAAATGACCAGTAGACCTCTAATGACTTACTGTCAAATAAGCACTGTTGGTTTGTGGGCTTCTCTGAAAGGATCCCAGCACTCTAAATTTGTGAAACTAAACTTGACGTCTTCAGTGGTAATATGAGTATAGTATGGTGATTACAATTAGTTTAGATTTATTTAACTGCATAGGCACTCAACTTATGAATTTTTCCTCATGCTAAAGAGCAAAATGTGATGCTTCTTACAATGTCATTTTGATTCAACTCGGTTTAACCCTGTCTTTTCAAGCCTAGCCTTCCCCTTTTCATCAGGGGTACATGCTAATAAGTGCAGGCAAACTGTCTAAATATTTGCAACAAACCCTGGGAGCAACTACATTTTTAGCAAGTATGAATTCCACAACATCCAGTGAAAGGATGCTGTCTCAATGAACTATACTCAAAAAGCTAAGAGACTTTTCATTTTATTTTAAACACAAGACTAGTAATTTTACTTTATTTGAACTTAAATTCCTGGAAGGTGATACTTTTTGAATTCTGTAGTTAAGAAGACTATTAAAAATTTTTGCTGACACTGAAAGAAAGTTATTTGCTATTTAAGATATCTGAGTGTAAGTAATGTGACATCTAAAGCTGAGCATATGCAGAAAGGAAACATCTGCAGAAGCAAGCATGAGTGTAGTATTCTGTACTTACTCTATTCACCTATATTCAGGAAGGTAACATAACAGAAAGGTAAGAAGGCTGCTCTAGTCACCTTAATGGTATATAACAGCCTACCTTCTATATATATATATGAGAACTTTTGCACCATGGATATGTTTGAATGCAATCATTTTTAACACAGCAGTCATTCTGACTCCATAGGATTCATATGAGCAAACCTAACAGTAGCAGCTTGGCAAGTCTGAAAAAAAATGAAGTAGGTTCATTGAGATGAAAACTAACTTGAGTAGAAACCTCTATAAGTAAAATGAAAACAAAAACAATTCTGAGGTGAATAGAACAAGAGGGAAAGGCATTAAAGATTTCAGAAATCTCATGCAAGTATCCCAGGGAATTGAGTATTCTTGCTTTATTGGGATATAAATCATTATATTTTATGTTAAGAGAGAAAAGCATCTTAATTAGTGCTATTTATCATCAATGAGAACATTTGTAATTCCGTGGTATCTATGAGAGGCTAAGGTCTCCTTGTAAATTATTATCATTATCATTATTAAACATGTGTTCCTATGTAACCTAAAGTAGCAGAAGGTTTTACTGAGAAAATTGGACAGCACTTTCCTATGTGAGTCAACCATAGTCCTTCAACTTAGAACAGAATTTCTCAGGGAAAAGGCACCGGACTTGCCCATTTTGTGTAAATCTCCAGGGTAGATACACTACCCTAGATAAAAGGTATGGTGGAATCTCTTATTTATACCTCTACCTTCTCTCTATTTTTCTGGGAAGGCAAGGCTTTTAGAGATGAGTAAATTTTCGTATGAGTAAAATAGGAATGGGATAAAGATTGGGATCATTTCCTTTGGGAAATGTAATTTTATTATTACCCATTCTGATGGTTGGTCCATCACCAAATAAACAAGAGTGAAGGAGGGAGACTGGTTGGGAGACTACTGCAGTAGCTTAAGCAACAGATGATGGTGCTTTACACTATGCTTTTAGTAGTGGAGATGGTGAGACGTGGTCTGATTTGGGATAGATTTTGTTCCAAGAACTAAGATTTACTGATAGAATGAATATGCACCATTGAATCTTTAGCACCTAGCACAATATACATGACATAAATAGTCAATGGGTATAGAAAGATGGTTCAAAATGAGGAAATCTATCAAGTCAAAGGGTAAAAAAATCCACACAATCATCTTGATCAATAAAACTGACAGTTTGCATATATGAAATGCAAAAGGACTATAAATAATTGAAAAGAGTGAAGCTTCACTAGCAGGTGAGATAAATTTAATTATCACCCATAAACTAGAAAACAACTGTGTTGCTTTTTGGATTTATTATCCAAAATGGCGAATTGTTGGCTAGAATGTAGAGAAGTCTCTTCCTTATCTTTTATAAATCTGTCCTTGACCTTAATTTTTTCACAGTAAACATATAAAATCTCTTTAATATAAATGAAGTTATTTTGTAAAAGGTGGACAAACAATATTAGTATTGAGATTTTGAAAAGTTACAAATATCTGAATATGTTTGATAAGTTTTCGTTTAAGAGTTTATAGGGATGGACAATCTAAATCAATGAAGTATTTAATGGGGTTATGAGATGCTAAAACACACATGTAATTTCTCCCTCTGTATTATTTTCTCTAATGTTACTACTTTCTTTTACCTTTACAGGTGTATTTCCTTAGAGTTCTTGGGAAACCATATGGCTAAAACCTTGATCAATACGCTACATACTCGGAAACACTGAATCTTTCTAACGGGAAAAAAGAGGTTGGGGGCAGAATTTATAAACATTTCTTCTTCAGATTTATGATATAGTAAATATACAATTTTATTTTTCCTGTTAAAGACACAATTAGAGATCTGGAGTGGGCATCTGGCCAAGTCGTCTGGTTTTAGCTCTTTGTTTCAACTTCTCTCTTACCACATTTATCACCCTCCATGATTCCCCAGTGCAGATAGCATGGGACCTGAGAGGAGAGTGAATATCCCCAACTTCTGCAACGCCTTAGGCTGCTGCACCCACACTTTTGTGAGTAATCACATCACAGCCACAAAACTTCCATCTTCATGTTTACACATTGTTTTGTTTTGTTTTCTTGGAAATCTCCAGCCTTCTGTGAGTAGAACTTTCTCTGATAGGGCTCAAGCTTCAGAGTATTCCAGACTCAGTAAGTCTTACAGTAAACTCTCATATCTGTTATGCTCCTTCCCCAGGAAAAGAACCTTAAATTTTGAAGCCTCTGTACAAAAGACTTCTCTCATGTCCCAAAGAGAAAATGTTCAAACCCTTTTCAAGTCATTTGAATTGCCTCCTTATGCAACAGTAAAGCAGGAACTTCAACATTGAATGAAGTTACAAATGATACTTAGTGCTTGTGAAATGGTGAGCCCTCCTTAAATAGTTTGTAAGGTGAGTTAGTGAGTGAGTGAGTAAATACACAATGGTATGACCTTCATATACTGTGTATAGGAAGATACAGCCATCTCTGTGAAGCATCCCTCAAAGATATTTCTATATGAAACCGCAGGTTTAGAGCCTTGGCTCAGGAGGTAATATAAACCTGAGGTTAGATCTCGGCTCTGCTACTGGCCAACAAAATGACCTCAGTCAGTTGCCCAACTTTTCTAAGACTCAGTTCAGAGTCTTTTTGTAAAAGTTCAATAGGATCATATGTTAAACTCAGCATAGTACTACACTAATAGCACATATTCAATAAATTATAATAGTTATTACTGGGTTCACTTAAATCTTTTTTAAATTTTACTTTAAGTTCTGGGGTACATGTGCAGAATGTGCAGGTTTGTTACATAGGTATACACATGCCATGGTGGTTTGCTGCACCCATCAACCCGTCACCTACATTAGGTATTTCTCCTAATGCTATCGCTCTCCTACCTCCCCACCTCCTGACAGGCCACCATGTGTGATGTTCCCCCGCCCCATGTCCATGTGTTCTCATTGTTCAACTCCCGCTTATGAGTGAGAACATGTGGTGTTTGGTTTTCTGTTCTTGTGATAGTTTGCTGAGAATGATGGTTTCCAGCTTCATCCGTGTCCCTGCAAAGGACATAAAGTCATCCTTTTTTATGGCTGCATAGTATTCCATGGTGTATATGTGCTACATTTTCTTTATCCAGTCTATTATTGATGGACATTTGGATTGGTTCCAAGTCTTTGCTATTGTGAGTAGTGCTGCAATAAACATATGTGTGTATGTGTCTTTATAGTAGAATGATTTATAATCCTTTGGGTATATAGCCAGTAATGGGACTGCTGGGTCAAATGGTATTTCTAGTTCTGGATCCTTGAGGAATCATCACACTGTCTTCCACAATGGTTAAACTAATTTACACTCTCACCAACCGTGTAAAAGCATTCCTATTTCTCCACATCCTCTCCAGCATCTGTTGTTTCCTGACTTTTGAATGATCATCATTCTAACTGGCATGAGATGGTATCTCATTGTGGTTTTGATTTGCATTTCTCTAATGACCAGTGATGATGAGCATTTTTTCATATGTCTGTTGGCTGCATAAATGTCTTCTTTTGAGAAGTGTCTGTTCATATCCTTTGCCCACTTTTTGATGGGGTTGTTTGGTTTTTTCTTATAAATTTGTTTAAGTTCTATGTGGATTCTGGATATTAGCCCTTTGTCAAATGAATATATTGCAAAAATTTTCTCCCATTCTGTAGGTTGCCTGTTCACTCTGATGATAATTTCTTTTGCTGTGCAGAAGCTTTTTGGTTTAATTAGATCCCATTTGTCAATTTTGGCTTTTGTTGTCATTGCTTTTGGTGTTTTAGACATGAAGTCTTTGCCCATGCCTGTGTCCTGAATGGTATTGCCCAAGTTTTTTTCTAGGATTTTTATGGTCCTAGGTCTTACATTTAAGTCTTTGATCCACCTTGAGTTGATTTTTGTATAAGGTGTAAGGACGGGGTCCAGTTTCAGTTTTCTGCATATGGCTAGCCAGTTTTCCCAACAATGCTTATTAAATAGAGAATCTTTTCCCCATTGCTTGTTTGTGTCAGGTTTGTCAAAGATCAGATGGTTGTAGATGTGGGTGTGATTTCTGAGGTTTCTGTTCTGTTCCATTGGTCTATATATCTGTTTTGGTACCAGTACCATGCTGTTTTGGTTACTGTAGACTTGCATAGTTTGATTTGAAGTCAGGTAGCATAATGCCTCCAGCTTTGTTCTTCTTGCCCAGGATTGTCTTGGTTATGCAGGCTCTTTTTTGGTTCCATATGAAGTTTAAAGTAGTTTTTTCCAATTCTGTGAAGAAAGTCAGTGGTAGCTTGATGGGGATGGCATTGAATCTATAAATTACTTTGGGCAGTATGGCCATTTTCACGATATTGATTCTTCCTGTACATGAGCATGGAATGTTTTTCCATTTGTTTGTGTCCTCTCTTATTTCCTTGAGCAGTGATTTGTAGTTCTCCTTGAAGAGGTCCTTCACATCCCTCGTAAGTTGTATTCCTAGGTATTTCATTCTCTTAGTAGCAATTGTGATTGGGAGTTCACTCATGATTTGGCTCTCTGTTTGTCTGTTATTGGTGTATAGGAATGCTTGTGATTTTTGCACATTGATTTTGTATCCTGAGACTTTTCTGAAGTTGCTTATCAGCTTAAGGAGATATTGGACTGAGACGATGGGGTTTTCTAAATATACAATCACGTCATCTGCAAACAGAGACAATTTGACTTCCTCTCTTCCTATTTGAATACCCTTTATTTCTTTCTCTTGACTGATTGCCCTGGCTGGAACTTCCAGTACTATGTTTAATAGAAAAGTTTCTAGTGGTGCCTTGATGGCCTATGAGTGATATAATCAATTAAATCAGGAAAAATACAGAATGACCTGAGAAAATTTTTTTTCATCATTATAACTGTTACCTTCACCTACAGACTCATGGTCCAGAGTCAATATATTTTCTAAACTGCAATAAGATGACTAATGGGTGGGAGTGGATAAAATAAGTTCATTTGAACTCTATATAATGATATGCAAATTAGTTATTTTAGCAGGGTAGCTGCACTGAAGCTTCATCTAACTGAAAAATATTATGAAACATGATGTGTAATCATCATTTTGGCCTCTGCTATAGAGTAGTCATGATTGTAATTAAAGTTAATCACCAGTTATACTGCAAAACAGGAAATATTGTGATGGAGATAAACTGTGATAGAAATGCTGGGATTTAATCACTGGATGCTGAGGCATTGATATGAGGGGATGGAGAAAGCTGGCTTAGAAAAAAATGAAAGTGAAGGGCTTGCACGTGTCAAGTCCCTAGAAGATAAAGTGTACAATGAATTTTTTTATTGCATAAGTGGAGATGTCAAGCGGAGAAGTATCAGAGTCACAATTAATGAAAAGTGACATTTCAAAATGGAAGAATTTTTTTTAATGTTCATGGAAATATTCATCTTGAGATTCATTGCACACCAGGATGACTACAGTCAATAATAATGTATTATGTATTTGAAAATAACTAAGAGAATACATTTCAAATATCTCATTATTAAAAATGATAGGTAAGCAGGATGATGGATATGTTAAAGCAGCTTGATTTAATCAAACTGTATCATATACGTATATCAAAACATCACATTTTGCCCCGTAAATCCATACAACTATGATTTGTCAATTTAAACAGGTATCGTGGTTGTAGGGGAAAGTGGGCCATGATCTAAATACCTAAAAATAATGAAATTATTAATGAATTCCAATAAAAGCACATGTCAGAAATTATATAGCCATAGAGTGATGCTTATGGCGACTCTAGTACTATGAGAAAATAGTTATGTTTAAATACTAAATGAAGAAAATCATTATTGATTTTGAAGATGTTATAATTATATAAATAAACAGTACAAATTTTAAATAAATTTTAAATATTTGGTTATTTTCTTTGAATCAGGACTCAAAATAATATATTTCCTTAAATTGTATCATTTGTTTTTAGTAAGCACATATTGATTTATTCATCACAGTCTACAATGGAGAATGCAGGAAATGTTCTACATTGTGAAGTTCAATTGAATATTTCTCTCTAGAGCATCAGATAGAGTTCTTTAGGTGTGAAAGAATAATTTCAACTCAAAAAACAATTTATAAAAAAGACTAATTTGGGCCAGCTGGGTCATGAAAATTGAGTTAAACACTCACGTGATATATCTAAAAGTTGTCTTAAATTATTTACAATAAATGTTAAAATCTTTTTAAAATGTATATTTCTGTATTCTAAAAATCATAGAGATTCACTCTAGATATATTTGAGATAAAAGCATGATTCATAGAGTGGGTAGTATTTTATTTGTAAATGAAATCAAATATGGGTAATAGAAAGTGAAACAATATTATCATATGAAAATCTTTAAAAACAACTGTTGAATTTTTATTGAACTTACATGATAACCTTTGACTGTCTTTTCTGTTTCTGAGCATTGTCATAACTCAGTCAAATAACTATGCCTATAACCCATGTGATCAAATGGACAATTTTAACAGCTGATTTGGTTAGTTTTAAGTGAACTCCACTAGGCTCTTTGCTGAAAAATTACATTTAAAGCAAAATATGAATTTTATGTGGTGTAAGAAGTAGGAAGTTGTTTCTTTTTAGTTAATTTGAAGGGTAAAGGGAACTTGGTGGGTGTATTTAACTATAAATAGTTAGGCTATCACCTAAATTAGCAATGTTCCATGTAGGTAAAGCAAAATATGAAGCACCAAAGGACAAGTCTTTGACAACAGTAAAGTACTACTACATAGAGAAGGCAACTCTCTTGACTCATTGTTCAGAAATCAAATATCAAGACTAGGTTAAGGTCATATTATATTAAATAAAACAGCGAGGAATCACAGAAAATTAACAATTTTAGTCTTTGGGGCTGATTTGCCTTCAGTGTATTACCAGGCAGTTCAGGTTAAAATGTGTTTCTTTGGGTCACTCCTTTGGTGTGACTTTCCCTAGATAGTTGGTATCCTTGCTAGCTATTCTGACAGACTTCTGCGAATAGTTTAATGAAAGCTGCTTGCACTTGCATGAACAGCCAAACACTTCTCAATCTGGGCTCTGACACTTATAGCCTATGGGACCTTAGACAAATCACATAAATTACTTGAGCCTCAGTTTACCACCTGCAAAATAGTTAAAAGGATCTGTCTCTTATGGAGTTGCGTGTTAATTAAATCAAATTAAATGTCTTGTGGAAAATACTTAGGATAATATCTGGCTACCAGATAGGTATCTGTATCATTATATATTGTTTTGTAATAAATTACCACATATTTCATGACTTATCATACCCCTTATTTATTAACTCATTGTTCTTTAGGTGAGAAGTTCAGGGGGACTTACTTGGATTCTCTGCTTAGGGTTTCACAAGACTAAAATCAAAGTGTCAGCCAACTACATTTTCATCTGAAGCTTGGAGTCCTTTTCCAGGCTCATTTCTCTTATAGAAGTCAGTTCCTTGTGGTTGTCCCAGTTATCTTTTTGACTGTTGGCTGAAGATCACTCTAGGCTCCTAGACCTCCTTGCGTGAGGTCTCTCTTCACATGCTTTGATTCTCTCTGACTTTCTCTTCTTCCACCAGAGAGAAAAAGATATATATTATGGTATTAAATGGCTTATGTAATTAGATTAAGCTCGCCCTGATAATCTCCTTTTTAATTAACTCAAAGTAAACTGATTTGTAACGTTAATATATTTGCCAAATCCCTTTCGCCATGAAAGGTAGCATAATAACACTTGTGATTTCTCATCATATTCCCTTTTTTGGCACAATGCTTGCTTTTATTAATTTTATTTTATTTTATTTTATTTTATTTTTTATTTCCATAGGTTTTCAGGGAACAGGTATTTGGTTACATGAGTAAGTTCTTTTATGGTGATTTGTGAGATTTTAGTGCACCCATCACCTGAGCAGTATACACTGAACCCAATTTGTAGTATTTTGTCCATCACCCCCCTCTCACCCTTTCTGCTGAGACCCCAAAGTCCATTGTATCATTCTTATACCTTTGCATCCTCATAGCTATGCTCCCACTTATGAGTGAGAACACACAATGTTTGGTTTTCCATTCCTAAGTTACTTGACTTAGAATCATAGTGCTCAATTTCATCCAGGTGGCTGTGAGTGTTACTAACTCATTCCTTTTTATGACTGACTAGTATTTTGTCATATATATATACACATGACAATTTTGGGGATAATTGGCAAGCCACTGTGGGAGAATTAAACTGGATCCTCATCTCTCACCTTACACAAATATCAACTTAAGATAGATCAAGGACTTAAATCTAAGACCTGAAATTATAAAAATTCTAGAAGATAACATCAGAAAAGCCCTTCTAGACATTGGCTTAGGCAAAGACTTTATGACCAAGAACCCAAAAGCAAATGCAACAAAAACAAAGATAAATAAGTGGGACTTAATTAGACTAAAGAGCTTCTGCACAACAAAAGGAACAGTCAGCAGAGTAAACAGGCAACCTACAGAGTGGGAGAAAATTTTCACAAGCTATACATCTGACAAAGGACTAATATCCAAAATCTAGAAGAAACTCAAACAAATTAGCAAGAAAAAAATGACAAACAATCCCATCAAAAAGTGGGCTGAGGACATGAATAGACGGTTCTCAAAAGAAGATATACAAATGACCAACAAAAATATGAAAAAATGCTCAGCATCACTAATAATCGGGAAAATGCAAATCAAAGCCACCTTACTACTGCAAGAATGTCTCTAATCAAAATATCAAAAAATAATAGATGTTGGCATGGATGTGGTGAACAGGCAACACTTCTACACTGCTGGTGGGAATGTAAACTAGTACAACCACTATGAAAAACAGTGTGAAGAGATTCCTTAAAGAAGTAAAAGTAGAACTACCATTGATCCAGCAACCCCACTATTGGGTATCTACCCAGAGGAAAAGAAGCCATTATACGAAAAAAATACTTCTACATGCATGTTTATAGCAGCACAATTCACAGTCGGAAAACTATGAAACCAGCCCAAATGCCCGTCAGTCAACGAGTGGATAAAGATATTTCTCGTCATTTTCACAGTACCGGGTATTAAGTTGGGAAACCTTATAGGAACATTTTAGAACTCTGTCTACCAGACCCTCAATAAATGTTGTTAGTTTATCGTGCTATTTCCGAAGAAGCTGAGCTTGTTCTGTGCTAATTTTTATGTACATACTACATCTTAATATTATTCATGAAAATATTCACTATCTACACAGTCCATGAAAGATCTGGGAAATCCAGAACTGGCATCTTAAAAGTCCAGGCCTCAAAGCCAACTGATGGATCAGCTAAATCAATAAGGAACACCCACAGAGTGACATCAGAAATTCTGAAAAATACATAAAACAGCTGTGTATAGTCACTTTAATTAAATCCAGTAACAGGTGTTCACTTATGAGTTGAGAGCTAACGATTGCATGAGTCTGGTCTGAGCAAGGAAAACATGAAATACCATGAAAACAAGGAGGAAAAATAACGTAGACACTCCCTATAAACTGCATCCTTATTTCTATGATAGGTAGAATTTGTGCTAAAGTAACAATTGTTTTAAAACTAGTTAAAGTGGCCAGGCACAGTGGCTCACACCTGTAATCCTAGAACTTTGGGAGGCCAAGGTGGGCGGATCACGAGGTCAGGAGTTTGAGACCAGCTTGACCAACATAGTGAAATTTGTCTCTACTAAAAAATAGAAAAAAATTAGCTGGGTGTGGTGGTGGACGCCTGTAATCCCAGCTACTTGGGAGGCTGAAGCAGGAGAATCACTTGAACCTGGGAGGCAGAGGTTGCAGTGAGCCGAGATTGCACCACTGCACTCCAGCCAGGGCAACAGTGCAAGACTCTGTCTCTAAATAAATAAATAAAACTAGTTAAAGTATCGATTTAAGTGTCAGAGAGAACACTGAGTAGAATTAGAGATCAAATCTTGGGCTCTGGACCTTACTCTTCCACACATAATTAAGGAGATCAAAAAAATTAGAATGTTCTCAGTAAGTATGAGAGGTCAAGAAAGAGAATAAAAAACCCCTTATCCTCCTCTGATCAAAGAGTCCTAATTTAGTGAGGTCAGAACCACTGACAGCCAACTTTCTGATACAGTTTGGCTGTTTGTCCCCTCCAAATCTCATGTTGGGATATGTTCCTAAATGTTGGAGGTGGGGTCTGGTGGGATGGTGTTTGGGTCAGCAGGGAAGATCGCTCATGAATGGCTTGGTGCCCTCCTCCTGGTAATGAGTGAGTTCCCACTCTGTTGGTTCACATGATACCTGGTTGTTGAAGAGTCTGGCACCTCTCTCTCATGCTTCCTTTCTCATCATGTGACATGCTGGTTCCCCTTGCCTTCCTCCATGAGTAAAAGCTTCCCAGAGCCCTCATCAGAAGCTGAGCAGATGCTGGCACCATGCTTCTTGTACACCCTGGAGATTTGTGAACCAAATAAATGTCTTTGTTGTTGTTGTTTGTTTGTCATTGTTGTTTTTGAGATAAAGACCCAGGCTGGAGTACAGCAGTGTCATCACAGCTCACTGCAGCCTCAACCACCCAGGCTCAAGTCATTCTCCCACTTCAGCCTGTTGAGTGGATGGGACTACAGGAGCGACCCTCCACATCCAGATAATTTTTTTTCTTTTTTTGTAGAAAGAGTGTCTACTAACCCAGTCTATTCTTTAACTTCTGTCCCCAAGCGATCCTCCCACCAAGACCTCCTGAAGTGCTGAGATTATGAGTGTGACCCACTAAGCCTGGCCAAACCTCTTTATAAATTACTGTGCCTCAGGTATTCGTTTATAGCAATGCAAACAGACTAATACTCTTTCCTACTACATGGAAGAACCTGAAAGAAAAATGTCAAGGCATGCATCACATGTGCCTTCCTTGTTTATGCTATTCCTCTTCAAAATAACCCCTTAAAATTTTACAAATTAGAAAACAGAAGTTTGAGAAATTAAATAGTTATGTAAAATATCACAGTTGGTAAGGTGGCAGAGGCAGTTTTCAAGGCATATCCATTCCACTATAAATACTTAAAAAATATTATGCCACCTCCTACATTGGTAACATAAAAATGAGTGTTTCTCTTGAATGAAATTTTATTTCTCTGCATATTCACTTACTGAACACACATAAACCTATGTATGTAAGTGTATACCCATCTTGCCCAAACTTAATAGTTGAAAAAGGTTTAAACAGATTAGTCTATTTACTCAGTATCTAGAATCATGATAGCAGTCCCAGAATTATTACATGATTGGCAGGAAACTTAATCAACCTTAACTTGAAGTAATTGGCTAAACTTTCAACTCTTGACTTGAGACCAATTACTGTTCAGCCAATGGCACTCCAAGTTGGCTCAAGTTTCACGTTTGTCTTGCAAACCAAAGTACTATGAATAAGTTGAATATGAATTGTTAGAGAACTTTATGCCTCATATCTTGGTATCCATTATGGGCTAGAATTGAGAAAAAAAAGTCCCCAGTTATGAATTATAGTGATATTTGACGAGCTAAAAAACAAAAATTGCCAAAAATATCTCATAATGTTTTAAGAAAGTTTACCAATTTGTGTTATGCCACATTCAAAGCCATCCTGGGCCTCATGCAGCCTGCGGGCAACAGGTTGGACAAGCTTGTTTTAGGGTTTTCTATATATAAAATCATGTCATTAACAAAACAATTTCATTTCTTCCTTTCCTATTAAGATGTCTTTTCCTGGACTTAGAAAAATAGCTTTCAACTATTCATCATTAAGTATGATGCTAGCTGTGGGTTTGCCATATAGGGCCTTTATTGTGCTAAGGTATATTCCTTTTATACCTAATCAGAGAGTGTCTATCATGAAAGGATATTGAGTTTTGTCAAATGCTTTTTTTGTGTTTATTGAGATAATATGGTTTTGTCTTATATTCTGTTAATGTGATGTATCACATTTATTGATTTATGTGTGTTAAAGCACCCTTGCATCCCAGGGATCAATCCCACTTGATTATGGCGAATGATTCTTTAAATATGTTGCTAAGTTTGGTTTGCTAGTATTTTTCTGAGGATTGGGCATCAATGTTCATCAGGAATATTGGCCTATAGTTTGTTTGTTTGTTTTTCCTTATAGTGTCCTGATCTGGTTTTGGTATTGGGGTAATACTGGCCTCATAAAATATGTATGAAAATATTCCCTATTTAACTTTTTGGAAGAGTTTGAGAAGAATTGGTATCTACTCTTCTTTAAATGTTTGGTAGAATTCACTTGTGAGTCCATCCAGCCCTGAGCTTTTCCTTGATAGGCAAATTTTTATTACTGATTCAATCTGCTTACTCATATGTGTGTGTGTGTGTGTGTGTATTTATATATATTTATATATATTTATATATTTATAACATATATATAATTTTTTTTCCAAATTACCCTTCCTTTCTTATGTTCTTCTGGGACTCTGATGACATAAAGATTAGACCTTTTGGCATTTTACCACAATACCCTAGGGAGAGCTGTTGTTCATTTTTTTCAATGCTTTTGTCTCTTATTCAAATTGGATAGTTTCTGTTGATCTAGGTTCAAGTTCACTGATTCCTCTTTCAGTCATCTCACTCTCATTCTGCTATTGAGTCCATCAGGTGTTGTAGGCTGAGAGAGAGAGAGTCGTGATCATTGCAGGCTGAGAGAGAGAGTCGTGATCAACTCAGTATACCACTGGAGGCTATATGAGTAAACAGCAAACTGTTCTCATAAAAGCAGGATGTTGGCAAACTGACAAACTGCTTCTGATGCCCAGAAGGAATGCTGAGGGCAGTCACACCCCAAGCACAGTGTTTCTTGTGGTTAGGCACATCTGAAGCCTATTAGCAATAATGTGAACCTGTGATCAGTTAAGCAGCTGGCCAATCATTACCTCCTCCTCCCTGCTCTTTCTACCCAATAAATACAAAGAGCTGTAGAAGCTCAGGACTGCTGCCTTTGCTCACTAGAAGCAGGGAGCCCTCTTCTGCTTCCCCTGGCCCCTTCCTTTAAAATAGTTACTTTTGTTTTAAGTTTTCATTTCTGCTTTCGTCTCCCTTCAGTCAGTCCCGTAGTAACCGTGGCAAACTGCGGCAAGTGGAACCCAAACAGGGACTATAGGGATAGATAGAGACTAGCAGAGACTAACAGAGACTAGTAGAGACTAGCAGAAACTTGCAGGGACAGACAGGGACAGATAGGGTCTTTTGGGACTTGAATGAGGAAGGTCTGCTGGAGCAGAGAAACTGAAACTTACCAGATGAATGAGAAACCCCGTCACGAGTCTGCCAGCAGCAATATAAGGAGACGATCAAACCGTGTGGGTGCCCTCAAGGTGTGTGCGACCATGGAACAGGAGACTGGAGGGACCCCTGGATCCCAACCATGGGCTTGGTTCCCCCGGTACAAACCATGAGCCAGTTGAATCTGAATGCAAAGACGGAACAAGAACCAACCAGAATCACACTGACATCAACCCCCATGACATAGGGACAGATCTTATTTAATTAATGCAAAAACAAAAAGGGAGAGATGTTGCAGGCTGAGAGAATGAGAGTCGTGATCAACTCAGTATACCACTGGAGGCTATATGAGTAAACAGCAAACTGTTCTCATAAAAGCAGGATGTTGGCAAATTGACAAACTGCGTCTGCTGCCCAGAAGAAATGCTGAGGGCAGTCACGCCCCAAGCGCAGTGTTTCTTGTGATTAGGCACATCTGAAGCCTGTTAGCAATAAGGTGAACCTGTGATCAATTAAGCAGCTGACCAATTGTTACCTCTTCCTCCCTGCTCTTTCTACCCAATAAATATGAAGGGCTGCAGAAGCTCAGGACTTCTGCCTTTGCTCACTAGAAACAGGGAGCCCTCTTCTTCCCCTGGCCCTTTTCTTTAAAATAGTTACTTTTGTTTTAAGTTTTCATTTCTGCGTTCGTCCCCCTTCATTCAGTCCCATAGTAACTGTGACAAACTGTGGCAATCAAGTATAATTCAGATTTTGGATATTGTGTTTTGAAGTTCTAAATTTCCATTATTTTCATTTATACCTTTTATTTCCCTGCTAAGATGTTCTGTCTTTCCATTTGTTTTGAGGATATTAGACCTTAGCTTGTAGATCACATTATCATAGCTGATTTGGAAGTCATTGTTTCATAATTTCAATATTTGAATTATCTTGCGATTGGCATTCATCTTCAGACCATAGTTCCCACGGTCAGAGAGAAGGATTCACCTTCCTGAAAGTTTTAGGTATTTGTTATGCTCACCACACACTACTACTCAGCTGCTGTGAAGCTTCAAAACTAAGACACACCTGGAACCTGGGTAGAACAGAAAAATAAAATGAAACAAAAACCTGAGGATACTGTCTCTGTCCCATAAAGGTTCCCATTCCTGCTTCTCTGGTGAAAAAAATAAAAAGAGAGAGACAGATATTCTTTTGGAGGTATTTCTGTCCATGCTTAGTATATAGTTTTAGGATTTGACTGCACTTGAGACTGTATTATATAGAATAAAACAAAACAAAACAAAACAAAATGAAAACAGAAAATGTACCACTTGAGTTTTTAGTATTTTCAATTCTAATTTTCTTACCCAATCTACCTGCTACAATTTACTGTTGAGAGTCCTCAGATTGCTATCTACTGCATTCGATCTAGGCTTCTATTTGTATTTCTTGGGAGAGGAGGGATAACGTGCTTATTCAACCTTATTTAAACCCAAAACTCTACTATTTATTTTTTTAAATTAGTTTGGCCTTTATATTTCCATTTTCAAAATTCTTTACTCTTTTCTGATTATTTATTTGTCATAGCATTCATTTTCCCTTTATGTATGTGATTTAGCTTTGTCTCGCTAATGATTTCAATTAGAAGGTTATAGTTTGAGATTTTCAAATATGATATCCCTTGTTCTATTTGCTTTGACTCTTTTTTTGGACAGCTTTCCTCAGATTTCTGGTTTCTTGATTTTCTACTTCTTATTTACTAAAATTTACTAACTAGGAATTTTGTGTTAGTGGACAAAATTTCATTATAGGGTAATTAGAAAATGAGTTGACAGTTCATTGGGGGAACTCCAAAATATAAATATGTGAAAATATTTTAAATCTTTCATTCTTCTTTTCAAGCGTGGAAGTGGAGTGGTGGTAAAATATGCTGATCTTCTGGGAGCTGGGTGGGAGAGTGACTCTCAACACACCAGCATTCAGTGTGAAGACATCCTAGACTGTCACAGTCCGCTGGAATTCTCCCATGCAAATATCCCCTCTGTTTTCAGACACTGGCCTTTATTCCTGCCTTTTTTTAATGTTGTTTGTCCAGACTTTCTTTAGGTCAGTTTCTCCAGAGAGTAAACATTTGATCCCCTGCCCAGGAGTGGGACATGGATAAAGAAGAGTTAACAACTTGGCCTTTTAAAGTAAGAGAGAGTTCAGGGACTCTGTCTGCTTTATATATTGTTTTCTAGCAATTCTTCTGTTTAATTATTGCCAACTTGAGTACCTTGTGTCTCCAAGTCCTAGGCACAATATCCATCAATGAATTTGCCCGCTTGTCAATAGTACTCTTGTCAGGAGGCACTTCAGGTTGGGCTCTCTTTACCTTGATAAGTCAGTTATATCTCCCCATGTACCCACTTCTCCCAAATAAAAGTTTTTATGCTGCAATCTTATTTTCTATATTTGTCTATATGGATTTCTATGGTTTGAACATGTCCCCCAAAAGTTCATGTGCTGAAAACTTGATCCCCATTGCAGCAGTGCTGAGAGGTGGGACCTTTGGAAGGCAGAGCCCTCATGAACAGATAAATCCATTCACAAATGAATGGATTAATGAATTAATGGGTTACTAAGGGGGAATGGGTTAATTATCACAAGAGTGAGACTGTTATAAAAGGCCAGTTTTGCCATGTCTTGGGAGTCCCCTCACCATGTGATGCCCTGTGTCACATGGGGTCTCTGCAGTGTTCCACCAGCAAGAGGTCCTCACCAGATGTGGACCCAGCATCCAGACTACCCAGCATCCAGAACCATTGGACTACCCAGCATCCAGAACTATAAGAAATACATTTCTTTTCCTCATAAATTATCCTGTCTGTGATATTCTGTTATAGCAACAGAAAAAAGACTAAGATGTGAACTTAAAACTTTATTGTCATTCCTGTAATAGCATTTAGTGTATTCCTAGGAGAAAGAGGTGAGAAACAAGATTTTTAATTTTTAAAATAGAAGTTTAATGTATTGTTTTACTTAAATAAATTAGAGATCACTAAGAGCTGATTAAAGCCAAAAAATGCCTTGATCCTTAGTGTTAAAATTTACCTTTCCAAGTTGGATCATGCACTTAAGACAATAATAACAAAACAGTGCTGCCACAGTTTTCTAAGTAGGTCCAAGAAGTAAATGAGTAAAAGACAAGTCCTTATATCTGATGCATTATTTTGGGTGACATGGTCCTGCAGGGACCTGTTGTAATTGATAAAAAGAAATAAATTATGTCTACAGAGAAGATTGCTGAAATTTGCATATCCTTTTTGTTTGAAGGATACGTCAGTACTCAACCTGACCCACTGGACTTTATTTGAATAAGAACCTTGGCAGGGGCCCAGCCCAAGTAATTTATAGTCTAAGAGGGGTAATTTATATTACATCCAATATCTTCTACCTTATTCCATAAGAAGAATGACCTGGCCCTGAGAGAATCTCGACCAGGCAAGAACGGAATAAAAAGGGAGAGGAACTGATATGTAACACTCCAATAGTCATAATATATACGTGGATTAGGTGAGACTGAAATAGGGCATTATTAATGCATTTAGCTATTTTAGGAAACATATACCACCTCAAGTAATGCAAACAGTCTGAGAGACCTTAATGGCAACTTCTGGTTAACTGTTCTGCTATTCTGTTAACATGTAAATAGAGTTGTTATGTGACTTGTGGTGGTTTGAAGAAACATTTTACTTTCAGTCACCAAAATGGTACTGTTTGAAAGCTGTTCTCCCAGATTGATGACAGTGAAGGTCATGGGCTTCAGCAAGGGAATTAGCAAGTACAGCAATGATTGTCTCAGGTTTTCAGAACATTTACCACTGAGATAAAACCTTGGTTTTTATTTTCAAGGATATCCTGCAGTAGGCAAAGTAATGCAATTATTCTCAGAGGAAGTACACAGTGATAGAACAATGGGAACACTTAAAAGGTGCCCTTAACCATTTTCACATAAAGGGAAGGCTGAAAAGCCTCTGTTCATTCATTTATGATGTCATTATAAAATGCCTTGGAAACCAAGATTCATGAATGTAAATTGCTAGGGAAGCAATTGACATAATTAGTGGAGGAGAAAATGTTCTTTAAAAATGTTTTTACAATCAGAGCTTAGATATAGTGGTCTTTGAATTTGTGAATACTGGTATTCAAGTTTGGCTTGGAGATGTTTTTTTCTTTCTTGTGTATCCATTGGGCATAAAGGAGTATTAGACTTTGTACTCACCTTGTTATTTTAAAACAGTGCTATGTGTTTGACATCAGTGGTGCCTGAGCATTTATGAATTTTGATCAACACTTTTCTATGCACATTCTATTCCAGACGTTCCTTAATATTGTTAAAATAAATTTCCAAGCAAAATGACACAATTTAAGACATGTCAAACTTTTAAAAATTGTCGATTTATTTTATTTTGGACGTGCCCAGGCCTTTCTAATTTCATAGTTTATGGTGATTACAACAAAAATAACCACAGAGAAATACATCAAATTCTGTATGTCAATTCTATAAGAGGCTTGATGGGATTTCATAGCAATGACTATAAAAAATAATCAGTTATAATTTTATTTCTATCTTAAATAATATTGAAAGGCACAACCTTAAACAGTAGTTTCCCATTGTGATTCAATATATAATTAAAACTAAATAGGCTTTGTAATATACTTATCAATTTTTTTATTTTAAAACATTATAATTGGAAGATGTAATAATAGTCCCTACCTTATAAGGTTGTTACATTTCAATGAATTAGAGTTCATGCAAAACGCCTAAAATCATGCCTGAAACATAGTAAACATTCAATAAATTATATTTATTACACAATTAACAATAGAATTTACAGTTTGCCTGACAATTACAGTTAGAGTTGAGTACGGTTTTATGCTCCACCATTAATCTTTTTGACAAATGTTCAACTTTCCTATATTTAGATTGAGCTCTTAATATTCATTTAAAACATCTAGGGTTATGTCTTTCATTTCAGTAAATACTTCCTAAACCTTCACAAATGTAGTGACTAATCTATACCCCAAATATTCTCTATAACCATGATCTGGTAGCTAGGCCACATAAATAAAACATAAAAATTACAGAAATTCGCCAATTAAACATGCCATAACTATATCTTAATAGCAGATGCTTTTTTCAATAAAATGTATATAGTGAATAATATTTTAAGACGGAGTTTCTCCTTAACGTTTAAAAAATATTCCTCCCCAGGTAAATGTTACACCAAAGGCAAATTTTGTTAATGTTCGATTCTCACACAGGAAAGTTTATAACAAATATCAACTGGCACAAAAACTGATTTAATGATTTATCTCCTCAAAAATCTACACACAAAAATTGAATGATTTATACTTCTCAGACTTCAGAGTCCAAGGTTCTGTATAAGTAACCTGTTCAGAGTCCAGGGTTCTGTACAAGTAACCATGTAACCTCAGTTATAAAAAAAAAATTTATTTGATGCTGCCAATGGGAAGGAATATAGCTGGCACAATAACAGGGGTTAACAGACATTTGCAAAATTCAGAAACTCTTCTTTCAAGAAGTTATAGATCTAGGAGTCTCTTTAGGAAATAAAGTCCATTAGTATGGGGCAGGAGACAAATAAAACTGAGACACATTGGGCCCATTCTCTAGAACGAGGGTTTTGGCATGTTCAATGGGTTGTCAAGTAAAGTTTGAGTCCCTAGCAGAGAATCAGCTGTAAATCAGGAATGGAAGAAGAGCCTGTATTTACAAAGACTGAGAATGCATAGAAAACACTGTGAATACACGTAAGAGACTCATGGCAGATACACATGATTTGTTCTTAGGTCAGTGAGCCTAACTCTGAGTTTTGCTAATTCAGCTGATATTATTTCTTTTTCTTTCTTTGCAACCTCCGCCTCCCAGCTTCAAGCGATTCCCCCTGCCTTGGCCTCCCCAGTAGCTGGGATTACAGGTGCCCACCACCATGTCCAGCTAATTTTTTTGTATTTTTAATAGAGATGAGGTTTCATCATGTTAGCCAGGCTGGTCTCGAACAATCCGCCCGCCTTGGCCTCCCAAACTGCTGGGATAATAGGTGTGAGGCACCGCGCCCAGCCTTAGCTGACATTATTTCTACCACTACCTTAAATGAGGTTTGACTCCTAGTACATTACCTGACTCAGGCTCACCCAATTCCCCAGCTAATCCAGGCCACACTGCAAGTGAAGGTCTCTAATTTTCCAGCTACCTGGGGAAGGGATTGGTGGGTAGTAGTCTTTTAGAAGCAAAGCCTGGCAAAGCCTAAAGATTCGGGAAGATGCCTCACCAGAAAATTTCCAGTTTGGTTCCATGACATGGACTCCAGCATAATCCCATCAAAAGCTTTTGTCTTTTTCTACTGATTCTGCAACAAAGAATTTCAATTAATAACTTCCTTTAAATGACTTCACATTATCTTGTGCTGTGACACTGGACTTTAGAGAACTTGATCTGATTCGCCAAATGGATCATGCTCTTTATACTAGCCTCAGTGACTGCATAAGAATGTGACTAGTAGGCCGGGCACAGTGGCTCGTGCCTGTAAACCCAGCACTTTGGGAGGCCGAGGTGGGTGGATCACCTGAGGTCAGGAGTTCGAGACCAGCCTGACCAACATGGTGAAACCCCGTCTCTACTAAAAATACAAAATTAGCTGGGCATGGTGGCAGGCGCCTGTAATCCCAGTGACTCGGGAGGCTGAGAGAGGAGAATCGCTTGAACCCGGGAGGCGGAGGTTGCAGTGAGCCAAGATCACACCATTGCACTCCAGCCTGGGCAACAAGAGTGAAACTCCATCTCAAAAAAAAAAAAAGAATGTGACTAGTTCATTCATATGGGTTCAGCAATCTTTGAACTGCACTCTAGCTCCTTCAGAACTTTCATAATTGATTTATATTTAGTTAATGACAAGGTAAAAAGATTTGACTGAGTGAGCTTAGGAATGCTCTAGTATAAGTTCACCACATTGGCCAAGCTTTAATTTAGTTCCTCTCTCTTTATAGACTCTAGCCCCATCTTTTTTGGGAAAGCAAGTTATGCTGCCAAAAGTCCAACTTTCACAGGTCCTAAAATCTCCTTCTTCGGTGTATTTTTCTCAGGAGTTAATGCTTGTTTCACTGTTTCTCTAATGATCAATAAGGTATGCCATAACCAACTAAAGATTCAGAAATTATGCATTGACACCAGAGTCCTCAAATCACCTGACATTTTTGATGGGTAAATCTGAGTTAACTGATTTTCTACCACATCCTTTTGGCAACACCCCCCCTCTTTTTTTTTTTTTTTAGGATTGCTTTCTATATTCCCGGTCTGGCTGCCTGCTTTATTCTATACTGAGCAGATGGGTCTCTTACCCTTATTCCCGTAGAAGCCAACATTTGGACCAAAGGCAGATTTACCTAGAGGCTAATTGGTCTTAAAAACTTAAGTGGCTTCTCACCTAAAAGACCCCTGACAGAGGTGGGAGTTGTCAGGTGTTCTATATGGAGAAGGAACACTTGGCTATAATCAGGAAACATTTCCATGTAATCATGTCCAAAGAGATCTGAAGGGAAAGATCTGAATCTCCAAGGACCCCGTCATTTGTTGTGATTGCTTTCCCTATCTCAGTAAATATTCAAGTTTGTACCTAATTTTGTATTCTTATTCTTAAAGAAGCCCCCTACCCCTGCAACCCGCCCCCAATAACAGCTTAAGCTTCAGTCCCTACAAAACTGGATCCATCTCTGCCTTTGGCATTGCCTGTTATTTTTGCAGCCTGCAGTGTTCCTGCCTTGTTAACTCACCAGGAGGTGGCAGGAGGATGCCTTTCTTCATGTTACTCAGTTCACACCTGGGGATACATTAGCTGTGCAAGAACTTGCTCTGGTTGTCCACACTTGACCTCCAATCAGTTTTGTTTGGGACATGCTGCTGCATCTCCTGCTCCTTAATTGGCTCAGTTGTGACTTACATTATCTTGTTGCTCACTTTCCTTTTTTTTTCAGTTTCTTGTCTCAGCTTCCGGGACTGTTTAGGTTTTATCTCTTCCCTATAGAACACTCTTTGATGAGAAATGTTACAAGGGAACCCTGGTGACTCTCTTAATCTGTGAAACAATTAATTGGAATTCTGTGGAGCATTCCCTATAGAAACACCTTTCTATGTAAGAAGCTAGTTAGTTCTCCTGCCTCAACAATGTTCATATCTTTGGAATACAATCTACTTAAATATGCAGAGGCAGTCCCCCTTCTGTGCTCTAGTTCATTCTGAAAACTGAATCCTCTTACTGAATATTCTATAAAAAGACAAAAGCTGTCAAATTAGGTTAAAAAAACAAAATCGAGCAATGTGCTGTTACAAGAAACTTGCTTCAGACCAAGTGATAAAGAACGGTTGAAAATAAAGGGAAAAGCCAAGAGATACCAGGCAAATGCAAAATTAAGAAAGGCAAAAATGTCAATATTTCATCAGAAAATCTTAGATATAAGCTCAAAAGTAAAAAGCAGTGTAAAGAGGGACTTTTACAATCATAATAGGCACAATTCATGTTGATATAGCAATTATAACACAATATACATCCTAAATATTTGGAAAGAAATTATATTGAAAATGTAAGGAGAGGTGAGAAAAAGCAAACTATAGTATATAGTTAATAAAATTATTTCAAGATTAAAGGTCAAAATCAGGCAAGGAAGGTGAGAAAGTGAATAACAGTAGATAAATTATAATATGCAAATGTATACACGAATATATGCATGTATGTATATATATAATCTCTGCACACACACGTACATATATATATAATCAATCTTATGTCCATTTATGAAAAAATCATACATTTGCTTGAAAGCTGTACATTTAAAAAGTAGAGATTACATAGATCATATACTCTAATATCAAATAAAAAAAGCAACAATATAAATATGTGACCAAAAAGATTAACATCCTTCAATATTTATAGATTAGAGGCAGTCACTATATATATATAAAATACTATATATATATAACTATATATTTAAAATACTATATATATAACTATATATATAAAATACTATATATATAACTATATATAAAAATTACTATATATATATAACTATATATATATAAGCTACACTAAAAGGAAATGTGTAGCTTTAAATACTAAAGAATAAAGACAAAAATATAGAGAAATGCATACCTTATTTTAAGAAGTTAATAAAAAGAACAATAAAATAAACCAAAAGAAACCTAGAAGAAAGAATAGATTATGGTAAACATGAAGTAAATGGAAAGGAAAACAACATAGTAGAAATAACAAACTATGAAAGTCTGAAAAGACCAGTAAAACAGAAAAGTTACCTTGAGACTGATTAAGAAGAGAGGTCACTTTGGGAGCCCGAGGTGGGCAGATCACGATGTCAAGAGATGGAGACCATCCTGGCCAACATGGTGAAACCCTGTCTCTACTAAATATACAAAAATTAGCCAGGCGTGGTGGCACATGCCTGTAGTCTCAGCTACTCGGGAGGCTAAGGCAGGAGAATTGCTTGAACCCGGGAGATGGAGGTTACAGTGAGCCGAGATCGCACCACTGCACTCCAGCCTGGCAACAGAGCAAGACTGAGACTCCATCTCAAAAAAAAAAAAAAAAAAGAAGAGAGATAAAAAACAAGATTAGGATTGAGAAAAGAAACAAAACTATCGATGTAAAAAATAGTTAATAATAAGAAACATCGCATGCAATATTATGAAAACAAATTTGAAAATGTAGGAAAATTTAGTAAAATTGACCTACGAAGAAATGGAAAAAATATTAATAGATATGTCAAAAATTATGAGATATGAGATTTTTTAGATCTACCCTTTAAAAAGCACTAATACTGAATAAGCTCACAAAACAGATAATACAGAACAGATAATTTCACAATATTTAAATTATTCCTGGCCAGAGAGACTAAAAGATCCTTACTTTATTCATGAAGCCAGCATAATTCTGATGCCAGAACCTTGTAAACCAACCAATAAAAAAGTAAAACATAGCTACTTTTAAAGAAAGACACAAAATTGCCTAATAAAATATTAGAAAGTGAACCTAGTAATAATCCAAAATAAAAATATGTAGGGCTTATGTAAGTTTCTTCATTATCATAATATGAATCAAGTAAATATATTAACAAAAATCTTATAATTTATAATTGTATCTATACATGGCTGAATATCATTTTATAAAATTTAGCAGGCATTCCCAATAAAAACTCTAAGTAAAATGGTTCGTTCTCTAAGAGAGTTATTTAAACACAATATAGATCATTTTTACCACAAATGTGGTAAGCTACAAAATTATATTTAACAAATTTGGAGCTAGTCAAAGGTACATTCCAGAATTTCATTGCATTCTTTCCTTAGTAGTTTTGGTTTACTACGAAGTTTTACATAGCAGGAATAAGAGACCACAAATGTGCCTTTTTCTCATCTCTGTTAAAGATTTTATTTTCTCACTAAAATTCTGAAATTGGTACTTTTACGTAGATTAAACTTCTTTCTCTTTGAGCTTTGAAGTGTGATGTGAAAAATCACTGAAATTCAATTATTCATAGTTTTGTTGTTGTTGTTTGTTTATTTTGAGGAAAGAGGTGGGAGAATATCATGGACTGTCCTTTTTTCCCACTAGCTATTTTTAGCAATTGCTTTACCCATTTCTGTTGGGCCTTCAGAGACCAACTGATTTAGAGGTGGAATTTCCTATCATTCAATTCTGTAATTATTATCTCAGACCAACACTGTGGCCCTGTGGGCAATTCAGTAAATAAATGAAAAGGGCCTAATAGTTGGGTGACACTGTGCCATGCTTAACACAATCTTACAGAAATAAGTCTGGTACAGGCAACATTTCATGAGGAATCTGCTTACTTCTCTGGCCAAAAATTTTTGCCCACATAGTTAAGTGTGATCCTTCGAATTCATTTTTCTTTGACAAAATTCCATGGAAGAATTTTTAGGATATCACACTTTATGGAGAATGTGAATCACCACATAATTATGATGTACTTAATAAGCATAATTAAAAACAACTTGCAAAAGACATATTAATTCTCACATGAAACATAAATTATTTGTCTTTAAGTTGGCAGTGAGGAGTTGGAGTTAGGTGTCGCTTTGAGAATGCTGGTCTTCAGCTTTGACCTGAATTCTCTGCTTGTGTTTCCTTAATTCTGCTGATCCTCTCTGGGGCCCCTCATTGTTACTGCTGCACACCAGTCTGTGCCAGAAGGTCAATTTTGTGTCAGGTCCCTTATAACAATAGGTCCCCAGTGGGGTGGTGTGGCTCACACCTGTAATCCCAGCACTTTAGGAGGCTGAGGCCAGCAGATCACTTGAGGCCAGGAGTTTGAGACCAGCCTGAGCAACATGGTAAAATCCTGTCTGTACTAAAAAGTTAGCCAGGCATGGTGGTGCACAACCTGTAATCCCAGCTACTTGGGAGGCTGAGGCACAAGAATTGCTTGAACCCGGGAGGTGGAGGTTTCAGTGAGCCGAGATCGTGCCACTGCACTCCAGTCTGGGTGACAGAGTGAGACCCTGTCTCAAAACAAACAAAAAAAAGTCCCCAACCCCTGGACCATGAACCAGTACTGGTCCATGGCCTGTTAGGAAGTGGGCTGCACAGCAGGAGGTGAGGTGAGCAGTGGCAGGCAGGTGAGTGAGCAGTACCGCCTGAGTTCCGCCTCCTGTCAGATCAGGAGCAGCATTAGATTCTCATAGGATCAGGAACCCTATTGTGAGCTGTGCATGCAAGGGATCTAGGTTGTACACTCCTTATGAGAACCTAATGCCTGTCTCCCATCATCCCCAGATGGGACTGTCTAGTTGCAAGAAAACAAACTCAGGGCTCCCACTGAATCTACATTATTGTGAGTTGTATCATTATTTTATTATATGTTACAATATAATAATAATAGAAATAAAGTACACAATTAATGTTATGTGCTTGAATCATACCAAAACCATCCCATCCCACTCCCAATCCCTGGTCCCTTGTGCCCAAAAGGTTGGGAACCATGCTCCTTATGATATTTAAAAATTTTTCAGTCTTGACAATCTGTAATTAATTGATAATATTTCTTTTCTTTTTTCTTTCTTTCTTTCTTTTTTGAGACAGTCTCACTCTGTCATCCAGGCTGGAGTACAGTAGTGTCATCACACCTCACTGCAGCCTCCACCTCCCGGGTTTAAGAGATTCTCATGCCTCAGCCACCTGAGTAGTTGGGAATACTGGCGTGTGCCACCCATCCCTGGCTAATTTTTGTATCTTTGGTAGAGACGGGGTTTCACCATGTTGGATAGGCTGGTCTCAAACTCCTGGTCTCAAGTGATCCTCCAGCTTCAGATTCCCAAAGTACAGGCCTGAACCACTGTGCCTGCCGAGATCTTACAGATACTATCTCTAAGGACTATCTCCTCACCACCAAGTAGGTGCTGTAAATGCCACTTTCTAATTAGTATTTACTCCAATAATTCTTCATTGTTACCTGTTTCATTTGGACTCTGGCTAGCTGTAGCGCCTCTGTTTTCTACTTTCTTCATTCTGCTTCTCTATGTGTGCAGAGATGATTGTACATTGCCTGGTTGCATGCAGAAATTAATTGAAAATAAATTTCTCTTGAAGCAGAAACATGGACATCATATATGATTTTGCTGGGAAAAAAAATTCTGACCTAGCTTCTGAGGATATAGCCTGTTAAACAGCTAGGTGCTCAGACCCTTGTGATCCTTCTGGCCATTTCTCAGGTTACAAAGCTGTCTCTGGTGTTCTACTTTTGGTGAGGCCTAATGGCAAGGAACACTGCATGCTGTCACTAAAGATAAACACATAAGTGTAGTTAGGATTGCCTCTTTCAGCACCTTTTGACCTGGAAGATGGAGTAGAGGGGATATCTCTATCAGTGGCTATCCCTCTGTAACCTTGCCCATGTGATAGATTTGGGGGCACACAAAAGAAAGCAAAGGATGGAAGAAATTTGTCATGGCATCTCATGGGTTCCCTAAAGTACACCTCATTCTTCTCTAGGAGAGGAGAGGCTGCAATTTCTGTCACAGGACAGCACTCTAACAAAATATTCCCAATAGGAAGCATAGTTTTATGAAACCAACCATACGATATGCCCAGTTGGCTCGCTCTGTGCTATATCTCAAACAAGCACGAAATCAGAATGTAAACCAACAGCTACATCACCATGGAAAGACTGTTTACAGTAGTAATTATAAAGGCTTCTACAGTTTAAATCAATAATCTGGTAACTATCTGGAGTGTAGTCCATAAAAGCTGACTAAAATCAGATCCTTGAAGATATTTCCAGTACATCCTCTGGTTACAGTCTTATTAGAGGATTAAATTCACCATAAAAAGAGCCAATGCAAAGTCATAATTCAAGGCTGCAGACAAGCAGGGGGAATTACAACTCCTTACCAGCTCACTGTCCATGGGATTTAATCCTCCAGAGATACATGTTGGTACTTGCATTAGGGGAGTTGAGAGGCCCCTGACAAGCCACCTAACACTCATACCATGGTATTGGACGCTGCCATTGTGCCCTAACCTGGGCCACTGTGGGATATTCTCATCCCTAACCTTCCCCACATCCATACCCAGACCTCCACAGTGGGTGAAGGCTATTGGCGGAATGTGAGCCTCTTCTCACTAATGTGACCTGGAACAGCTACTGATGGAGGCTGGCAACAATCTGGGACAGAAATAAAAAAGGGAGGACGAGTAGACCCTGGGGCACCAGGGATGGGTGGCAGGTGGCCGATAATCACACATGGAAAGAACATGTGTGAGCTGACACTCCAAGCCCTGCCTTTTGCACATGTTTCATTGTCCCATTGGACTTTAATTACAAAACACAGATTCAAAGATGAAATTATTATAAATTTCAAGACGGCAACCACAGAGCATTAGACCCTAAGCATGAGGTCCTTCTTAGCATGAAGCCCTGTGTAACTGCACAGGTGGAACATCCTGACTGTAAAACACAGAAGGTTCTCATGATATGGGAGGCATTGCTGTGTAGATAAAACAGCCTTGCACTGGAATTAGGAGGCTTTTGGTCTACTATTGACTTGACGACTGACCATGATGTCACTATACCTCTTTGAACTTCAGTTTCCTCATCTATAAAATGAAAAAATTTTCAAGTTCTTTTGCACTAAGTTTGAATCTCTAGGAGTGGGGTTTCAGAATCTGTGAAAACCTACTTAGGTCTCTAGGTTTTTGCTACCCAAAGTATGATGCATAAACAAGCAGTGTGAATATCACGTGGGAGTGTCTTAAAAATGCAGAATCCCAGGCCCCACACCCAGACCTACTGAGTCAGCATCTTCATTTTAACAAGATTGCCTGGTGATTTGAATGCACACGAAAGCTTGAGAATCACTGCCGTAGATGACTTTGATGATCTGTGAAACCATCAATATAGAATATTTCTATAAACGTTTTAATCTTGTGCAATAGCTAAACACCAATGGCAGTTAATGGTTAATGCCTACATTGGATTATTAGGTAAATTCGTCAAGGAGGGTCTTTGCTTTAAGTTATGTTTTGAGCCCTAAATGTGTATTTGTTTAAATTGTTTCATTCTCTTTTCATTACAGTCCTTAGTGACTCCTTGCTCATAAAAATTGATTTAATTTTTCACTGTTATTAGGAAAAAGAGGAAGGGATCTTACATCAATATTTTCACCAACTGTTCATGGCAATTTAAACATCGGTCTTCCCTTAAACTTCAATAGGTGCATTTATTAAAACAATGATTACTATAATGACCTATGACAATTTTTTTCCAGCTACAGACTTTAGTTTCTCTTCAGTCTTTAGCTTTGATACCTATATTATGTTCCTAAAAGCAAAGTGATTGCATTAGATAAAATTTATTCTGAAGTTTTAGCCAATATCACCTTAGGTAAATATGGTAATTTCTCAAAACTAGTGATGAGTTTCAGACCTATTTTCCGCATTATGAATTTTTTACTCAGAACCAGTTCAGACTGCCAATGAAGACTGACTATAGAAACCTCTGTTCTCTATATGTTCTTCCTGGCAGAGCCTACGTTATGTATGTTTTCAGCACAAAAGATATCAGGAAGCCATTTAAGTTTTTCCCTTCATCCAATTTATGTCCCTTTAAAGAAAAAAAAACATATTTTGTAAGTAACATTGGTAAAAGGCATGAGATGATGTGTTTTCAGGCAGTGAGGTCTTGGAGTCTTAATTCTTAATTCTTCGATTTTTGACACTGATTGGAGCCTGAGATATTTCTCAAGATGGATGTAAGAGGAAGGACATGGAACAATTTGCTAAGTAGCATCACTCTGCATGAATTATTGGCTGATTCCAGGGAGTATGTTGGCAGGCTGGCTTACAATGGAATGGGCTTTGTTCTTTTTCCTTGGCTCATTTCTAAGTATCTGCTGGGGGCATTTTTAGATCTGCCATGTAGCAAACACAGCTCAGAATTCTTCAAAAATTTTAGAGTAAATTTCGCGGGTTGAACTGACACTTTTTTTTTTTAACTGCTCTCTCTCTCTCTCTCTCTTTACCTCAAATGTAGCTTGCCATGTGTTGACCCAAAGTAGGGGAAGGGTTAGAGAGAGGGTCAAAAAGTCCGTCAACTACCGCCTTCCATGTGAACCAAGAGGACATTGATGTGAGTAGGTAATTATCAATTATTGCACAAGTATGGCAGCTGTTCCTCTCCAGGGACTCTGCCCCTCCCTGAGCCTTCTCTGGCTGTGCCCACTCTTCATGGAATGAGGAACCCACAAGACCAAGTGGACATGGTCCATACAGAGTCCAAATCCCAGGTCCTCTTCTAGATCAGACTTTGGATACCTAGGAACCTAAAATTCCCACCCAGACTATCCCAAGCCCACCTCCAGAGTCTGTGTTTACCTGTGTTTTAAGGTAGACTGTGATGTTGGTGTGTGTATCTCTAGGCAAGAGGGAGGCCAGGGGGCACTGGGGAGAGGTTGGATGGAGTATGTCTTTGTGGACTGCAGTGTCTACCCAGTTATGTGTAAGATTCCTCAGGGTGCAAGACAGAGGCAGGGGTGAGAAGAGAATCTGTGTATGTGCCCTAAGATGCACAAATGTTAAAACGAGACTGATGATGAGACATGTCAGCAAGCAGGCACGTAGTCTCATAAGCCAGGCTTAAGTAGTGGCTTGTAGCAGAGGGAAAATGGAAGCATGAAACTGGTGTTTGAATCTCAGCTCTGCAACTTATTAGCTGAATGAAGTCTTTCCTGTTCTTTAATCTCTCTGAATCTAGTTTACTCATTTCTAAAATGAGAATAATACTTACCACAACAGTTTTAAGTAAGGATTAAATCAATAAGAGATTTTTATATACATATATACAGGATATTATGTGATGGAATCCATTTATCTATCTATCTATCTATCTATCTATCTATCTATCATCTATCTATCTATCAAGATAGGGAGAAAGAGAGAGAGAGAAGAGATCCTTAAGAATAAGCTGTAGGTAATATTAGGCATATTTTTTGAGTCAGCAGCTAATCTTTTCCTTTAAGAATTTTCTTGTGGAGTTTATCTACCCAGAGGCACAAAGATTTTCCTGACTAAATGCATATTAATTATTTGTTAAATTTCAGCTTTAGAACATTAAGTAATCCTCCCATTTTAGTAACCCACGAAAATCTATCTTTCCTCTCTCAATCATGAGAATGTTCTGCTATAAATTTTCCATCCCGGTTTACCTGCTTATCACTGCTTCATTTACAGAGATATTCCAAATAAAATTTACACAGATTGTCACACTCTTAACTTCAATCATAACATTTTTTCTTCAGTACAAATAGAAAATCATAGATTGCTCATAAATATATTGAACCATCAACTTAACAATTATACTAGACACTTTCCATCACATGGTAGAGCATGACTTTTAATTATTCACATTATTTACCTGCGTTCACCCTGCTCTCTTTATTACACAAAGTACCTATATTTTCAGAAGCTTGATTTGAAATACAGCACATCTTTGAATAACATTGTTTCTTTCAACATTGTTTTGTTATAATGTTGATGAAGAAAATCAGTTTTCTGCTTGGGCCACAGTCTGTGTGGAGTTTGCACATTCACCTCATGTCTGCCTGGGTTTTCTCTGGGTACTCAAGATTCAAGGTTTTTCCACATCCCAAAGATGTGCATGTGGGGTTAATCATCGTGTCTAAGTTGTCCTCATATGAGTGAGTATGGATATGTGAGTAAGCGTGCCCTGCAATGGAATGGTATCCTGTACAGGGTTTGTTCCTGCCTTGTACCTGAGCTGCAGGCATAGACTCTGGACACTTCCCTGAACTGAAATAATTGGGTAAATAATTATCTTACTTATTTGTATCAATATTTCTTAAATGTATACATCACTCATGTTTATATCAACATTTAATATTAAAGTGATTTGATCATTACGCATTGTATGCTTGCATCAAAATATCACATGACCCCCATAAATATGTATAATTATGATGTATTCATAAGAAATAATTGTTTTAAAAAAATTAAATGGTGCTAATTTAAAGTGGAAATAAAAAAAGAAGTGTTTTGGTCTTTACTTAGAAGTTTGATGATGCTTTCATGACCAGAAATATGCTGTAGGAACTTAACCTTTGTTTATATCAATTAGCCTATGGTAAATTTGGTCTGCTTCTATGTAGTTTTGCTTAAAGTTAGTTTCCAAGAACCTATCAACAATGTTAAGTGATGACATACTGCGCTGCGTATAGCCCACCTATTTCTATTGCACACACTTAAAAAACTGAACAAATTCTATTCCCCCTTCCTCCTCAGTTACCCATTTGAATCATTGGTCTTAAGATGCATGCATTCCTCCATCCCTCCATTATTTCATAGACTTCATTCTGTTCACCCTTTGGATTAGCTGTGGTGGATTGTGCTGTGTCAACTTAGTAACCCTGAGAACTGCATTTTCGGAGCCTCTCAGTGCATGGTTTGGTCAGAGTTAGCCCAGTGAGGAACCTGTCTGAGATTTAGAAGGTGGGATGGATATGTTAATTGAATATAAGAAAGATGACTCAATATCTTTCATGACTTATTCTTATTACTACTGATACAGATATTTATACTTTATATACTTTATTGCAAGTACTTTACAAATATTTTACTACTTATACGGATACTTAACATATGATTATTTTTAAGACTTAACAAAGATATAAATGATACTAGCATAGGGTCTTTACTATATAGAATACTCAAAAAAATGGGTTTTCAATTTTTTCTATGGAACCTCGTGGTTTACATAACCATAATCTACTTAATTTTCTAGACAATCCAGTGGACTTAATAGGGTAGTTAATTATACCTACAATATCTACATTTTATGTAAAAGGAAATCAGAGTTTTTGGTGTATATTATTTTTCTAGTCATATGTTTGACAAGTAGCACTTCCTGGTTATTGTACAGTCTCTACTAGCCAGGATTATATAGAAAGGGGTAGCATATTAAGGATCCACTTAGGGAAATAGTAGAAAAGATTGGTGTAGAACATATACTGAAGTCAGTTATAGAATTTCTTCTATAAGAACAAATGGTGATCCAGTGAAAGGCAGATAATAGAGATTTTGGTATAGGTTTATGCCTCTAAGATGTGGGTTAAAATTATAAAGATTATCTGAATACTTAAACATTATAGTTGAGAAAGTTACCAACTATTTTAATGCTAATTAAAGTGAAATCAAAGAACTTCATAGGAAATTAAATTTACTGAATATCAATGTGGTCTTTGCCTGACCTGAGTCCCACTGTTTACATAGATGAAAATGAGGACACTTCCATATTAAAGTCTGGTTATTAAAACAACCTGTTAAAATAATAAAACTTTCCACATTAATAAATACCATCATTTTATGCTATAAACATACAATTGTCTGTAGAGACCCCTGATAGCAAATTAATTAAATCTCTTTTCCATTATGGTGTCAGCTAATTTGGGAGCTCATTATTTATTTGGCACTAATTTAGCCTGGCAAATTAATTAGAAAGGGCATGGGAAAATAAATGATTCAACATGAAAGTCCAAATCAAGACAAGGGGGCAAAATTAAAGAACTTATTTAGAGGAGAACTTATTTAGGGCTTCCTGAAGACAGACAACACAGTGCAGAGAAGCTGACCAGAAGTTGAATTAGAAAACCAGAATTAGTAATTGTCTTTAAGAAAAACAATTCCTCCTGTACAGGGTTGTCTATAGAGGACTGCACCCCACAATGTGTCCACGCAGCTCTTCCTGACTTCATTCTTCTCCATAATGCAGTCCTTGGACCCATGGTAAAATTGGTCACTGGTCAGTAATCTCTACCCCCAGCCATGTTAGGGTATTGGAAATTTGGCTTCTGCAAGGATTTGAAAAGAAATAACCTGTTTGTGCCTGGGGGGACATTAATCTTCTGGATACAAAAAAATAAGTGGTTCAGAGTAGCTGGTGGCTACCTAGATTTTCAGGTGATAAATGACAAAAATAGTGCTTCAGGCAAAGACTTTTTCTGTTTTTGTCTAGGGTTCAGAGAAGTCCAGGAAAATGAACATGAAAAAATTTTCAATTCATCCCTTTGGTCCATATTCCTGGTAGCAGTATCTGCTGAAAATATAGTATCTACTGAAATTTGGAAAGTTTTCTTTCTTTAAAATTTGCCAATTCTTATCTTATTTATGGATCTTCATTAGAAAAATAAGTTAAACACTACTAATGTGCACTGTGATCATCTGGAAGTCTATTAATTAGTCTTATTCAATTAACAAGGACATGTTGAGGACTTGCTATGTGTCAGTCATTGAGCTGCATGCTCCTCTCTCTACATGGGGAATCAAGTAGACATGTTCATTTTCTTCAAGCAGCATTCATTACAGTGGAGAAACACATTTAAATGCATGACTAAATATATAATGACAGAATTTGATAAATAATATAAAAGAATATGTAAGGGTATTATGAAACAGACTAACTTGGATGACCTAATTTAGATTAGGAGTCAGGGAATCTTTCTCTCAGGAAATTGCATTTAAGCTGAGACTTGAAGAGCAAATGGGAATTATTCCAGATGTAGAAGATCAAGAGGAGACTTCTAAAAGAGAAAAGGATTGTGTGCTTCATGGCTTTGAGGCAGTTTTGAGGACATTTTTTCAAAGGCCAAGGAATGAGATGAGAAATAGAATTTGCACCACGGGCAGTTTGGATCAAGGAAAGTATGCAAGCCATGTTAACATTTTGTATTTATCTTCAGAGGTACAGAAAAGGATCAATGTTTTTAAAGAGGAGAATAACATGGTCAAATTCACTGGCCTAAAAGGTCACACTGGCTGCTGGGTGGAGAAAAATAGAGAAAACACAAATGGAAGTTTTCAATTCAATAACCACCTCTGACCACAGGAAATCGTGACCAGCTGCTTTACCCAGGAGCATTTCTGGTGTCAATACTTTACTTTTCCTTATAGTTTAACATTTGTTTTTTTCTTTATTTGAGGTAGATGGTGCTTTAACAAATAATCTCTAAGAACTATTCAACTGTTAGAATCTACACTTAGGTCTTCGCAGTTCCATAAGCACCATTTTGATGTGAAGAGGTATTTCAGGGAAGAAGTGTGTGTCTTTTCTCTCTGGGGGCACAAAGACCTATTGACAATATGTTGTAAAATCCAACTTCAGAGGAATAAAAGTGTCAAACTATTTGTGAACAACTATGTGTTAAATGAATTAATGATGAATCAGTTTTACATTCTGCATGTCAGAGGCTTACTTTTGGGTGGTCTGAAGCAGTTATGTACAAAAATACTTGTCTCTCTTAATTAATACCATCCTTATACTTGAGAATATTCACTTTTTAAAAGAGAGATTTGGACATATTTTCTTCTTTACAATCTTTTCACATGTCTCAAATACTACAGTATTGAAAACAAAGCAGACAGAAACGAAAGGACATCCAGTTTGATTTTCCAGTTTCATGTGCTTCCATTTCCCTCATGCCCTGTAAATGTCAGCCCTGAGAATGCCATGAACTTCCTTTTAACCTCCATTTCTTTCCTCAGGCCATTAACATCTAGGCATTATGTAACTTTCTCCTTCTTTCTGCAACAGGGTCTGCTTGTTTGTTTTTCTTAACATTGCAAGTATTGTAGGCTCTACCTGTCCTTCCTCTATAATATAACACTGCAGCAAACACATAAGCCAGATATTAGCATATGGGATTTATGTCAAGAAAATAACTTTTTTTTGAAGTTCTTTTTTTTATTATTGTACTTTAAGTTCTAGGATACATGTGCAGAACGTGCAGGTTTGTTACATAGGTATACACATGCCACGGTGGTTTGCTGCCCCCATCAACCCATCATCTACATTAGGGTATTTCTCCTAATGTTATCCCTCCCCAAGCCTTATCCAATTGAAAAAAATCCATCAAAGAGCTGGAGTCCAAGAAACAATTCCCTATAGTGATGGACTACCTTTTACTAGTCACTGTAATCCTAAGATATACTCAGATACTCAGTTGCTGGTATATGATTGAAGAAATTAATTAGAACTCTTAGGGAAAACACAAACTTAATAAACTCAGAATTCTCAAATGAACTTTCTCTCACTAGGAGTTTGATTTTGTTTGTTTGTTTTCCATCTAAAAACTAGATTCGGGTCATAAAAACAAAGAATTTCAACATATTCATTAAATAAAGAAGGGGATAAATTTAATTTCTTTTGTAAGATGACACGTCAACACCTTTGAACTGTCTCTCAGTATTTATTGATGCCCTTAATTTTTCATTTACGTATGTCCATAACCCCCCAGGAAGGGGTCCTTAATGACCTGTAGTTAACAGGAACTTAAGTTCTCATTAAGAATATGCATATAGAAGATAAAATATTATATGTGATTGCAAGTAGTCAAGATTTCCTTTTCCTCTTTTCTGTCTTCATACCTCTCTCATATATGAAGATAGAAAATATATCTTCATATATATGTATCTTCATGTATATATCTTCATATATATATATCTTCTTATATATATATAATTTTTATAGAAATTATAGATTCCTTAGATATTGGCTGGCTTCCCAGAGACCCAGGCACTTGTGCTTTTTCTTCTGATTAATTTGAGAAATGAATCTGGTATTAGTACAATTCAGAATTTCTTATTTTTAAGAAGAGAAATGTGACAGAAGAACCAGTGTGATGTGCATTCCATCCTGAATCAGCATGTGGTGATGAAATATAGGGAAGATGAATGACTGAATACCTAATATTAGTGGTCCTGCCAATGCATATTTTCATGTGTCTATTTTCATGTGTTCATTGGGCTGGCTAGTATTTATTTAGTGCTAAAACTGTGGTAGACACATGGGGGAATGCAAAAGGAAATTAGACATAGATTTGCCCTTATGAAGTTTACATTCTAATAGGAAATGTAATCGATGGGCATTAGAAGCCATAATAAATTGTAGTAAGTAATATTGTACGAATAAAATGGTATGGGAGTACTTCCTGAAGTTACTCTAGGCAAGGCACAGTGGTTCACACCTGTAATCCCAGCACTGTGGGAGGCCAAGGCAGGAGGATCGCTTGAGCCCAGGAATTTGAGACCAGCCTGGGCAACGTGGTAAAACTCCATCTCTACCAAAAATACAAAAATTAGCCAAGCATGTGTGACACGCACCTGTAGTCCTCGCTACTTGGAACACTGAGGTGGGAGGATCGCTTGAGCCTAGGAGGGTGAGGCTGCAGTGAGCCGTGATAGTGCCACTGCACTCCAGCCCAGGTGACAGAGTGAGACTCTGTCTCAAATAAATTAATAAATTAGTTAAAGTAACTCTAAAGTGCTACTTAAAAGTAGAGAAATACTTGCTTTGACTCAGGAAACTGGGGAACAATAGAAACACATTTATATCAGAAGTGAAATTTGAATCAAATATAGAATTTCAAGATGTAGCTGTTCTGGCACAGTGATTTTTAAGTTTTTGTTGTTCTTCTCAACAATCTTTAGACTCTTAAAAATTATTGAGGACCCCGAAAAACATTTGTTCATGTTTAGGCAGTATCTAGTAGTGTTATCTGTATTGGAAATTAAAGCAATTTTTGGATAATATTTACTATTTTATTTGAAAAACAGACCCATTCCATGCTAACATAATGATTTGTATTAAAATGTATTTTCTTTTTTTTTTTGTAAACTCTTTCTTTTTTTTAAATTTATTATTATTATTCTTTAAGTTTTAGGGTACATGTGCACAATGTGCAGGTTAGTTACATATGTATACAAGTGCCATGCTGGTGTGCTGCACCCATTAACTCATCATTTAGCATTAGGTATATCTCCTAATGCTATCCCTCCCCACACCCCATAACAGTCTCCAGAGTGTGATGTTCCCCTTCCTGTGTCCATGTGTTCTCATGATTCAATTCCCACCTATGAGTGAGAGCATGCAGTGTTTGGTTTTTTGTCCTTGCGATAGTTTACTGAGAATGATGATTTCCAATTTCATCCATGTCCCTACAAAGAACATGAACTCATCATTTTTTATGGCTGCATAGTATTCCATGGTGTATATGGCACACCACATTTTCTTAATCCAGTCTATCATTGATGGACATTTGGGTTGGTTCCAAGTCTTTGCTATTGTGAATAGTGCTGCAATAAATATACATGTGCGTGTGTCTTTATAGCAGCATGATTTATAGTCCTTTGGGTATATACCCAGTAATGGGATGGCTGGGTCAAATGGTATTTCTAGTTCTAGATCCCTGAGGAATCGCCACACTGACTTCCACAATGGCTGAACTAGTATACAGTCCCACAACAGTGTAAAAGTGTTCCTATTTCTCCACATCCTCTCCAGCACCTGTTGTTTCCTGACCTTTTAATGATCACCATTCTAACTGGTGTGAGATAGTATCTCATTGTGGTTTTGATTTGCATTTCTCTGATGGCCAGTGATGATGAGCATTTTTTCATGTGTCTTTTGGCTGCATAAATGTCTTCTTTTGAGAAGTGTCTGTTCATCTCCTTCGCCCACTTGTTGATGGGGTTGTTTGTATTTTTCTTGTAAATTTGTTTGAGTTCATTGTAGATTCTGGATATTAGCCCTTTGTCAGATGAGTAGGTTGTGAAAATTGTCTCCCATTTTGTAGGTTGCCTGTTCACTCTGATGGTAGTTTCTTTTGCTGTGCAGAAGCTCTTTAGTTTTATTAGATCCCATTTGTCAATTTTGGCTTTTATTACCATTGCTTTTGGTGTTTTAGACATGAAGTCCTTGCCCATGCCTATGTCCTGAATGGTAATGCCTAGGTTTTCTTGTAGGGTTTTTATGGTTTTAGGTCTAACATTTCAGTCTTTAATCCATCTTGAATGAATTTTTGTATAAGGTGTAAGGAAGGGATCCAGTTTCAGCTTTCTACATATGGCGAGCCAGTTTTCCCAGCACCATTTATTAAATAGGGAATCCTTTCCCCATTGCTTTATTAAACAGGGAATCCTTTCCCCATTCTCAGGTTTGTCAAAGATCAGATAGTTGTAGATATGTGGCGTTATTTCTGAGGGCTCTGTTCTGTTCCATTGATCTATATTTCTGTTTTGGTACCAGTACCATGCTGTTTTGGTTACTGTAGCCTTGTAGTATACTTTGAAGTCAGGTAGCGTGATGCCTCCAGCTTTGTTCTTTTGGCTTAGGATTGACTTGGCAATGCGGGCTCTTTTTTGGTTCCGTATGAAGTTTAAAGTAGTTGTTTCCAATTCTGTGAAGAAAGTCATTGGTAGCTTGATGGGGATGGCATTGAATCCATAAATTACCTTGGGCAGTATGGCCATTTTCAAGATATTGATTCTTCCTACCCATGAGCATGGAATGTTCTTCCATTTGTTTGTATCCTCTTTAATTTCATTGAGCAGTGGTTTGTAGTTCTCCTTGAAGAGGTCCTTCACGTCCCTTGTAAGTTGGATTCCTAGGTATTTTATTCTCTTTGAAGCAATTGTGAATGGGAGATCACTCATGATTTGAGTCTCTGTTTGCCTGTTATTGGTGTATAAGAATGCTTGTAATTTTTCTACATTGATTTTGTATCCTGAGACTTTGCTGAAGTTGCTTATCAGCTTAAAGAGATTTTGGGCTGAGACAATGGGGTTTTCTAGATATACAATCATGTCATCTGCAAACAGGGACAATTTGATTTCCTCTTTTCCTAATTGAATACCCTTTATTTCCTTCTCCTGCCTGATTGCCCTGGCCAGAACTTCCAACACTATGTTGAATAGGAGTGGTGAGAGAGGGCATCCCTGTCTTGTGCCAGTTTTCAAAGGGAATGCTTCCAGTTTTTGCCCATTCAGTATGATATTGGCTGTGGGTTTGTCATAGAGAGCTCTTATTATTTTGAGATACATCCCATCAATACCTAATTTATTGAAAGTTTTTAGCATGAAGGGCTGTTGAATTTTGTCAAAGGCCTTTTCTGCATCTATTGAGATAATCATGTGGTTTTTGTCTTTGGTTCTGTTTATATGCTGGATTACATTTATTGATTTGCATATAGTGAACCAGCCTTGCATCCCAGGGATGAAGCCCACTTGATCATGGTGGATAAGCTTTTTGATGTGCTGCTGGATTCGGTTTGCCAGTATTTTATTGAGGATTTTTGCATCAATGTTCATCAAGGATATTGGTCTAAAATTCTCTTTTTTGGTTGTGTCTCTGCCCGGCTTTGGTATCAGGATGATGCTGGCCTCATAAAATGAGTTAGGGAGGATTCCCTCTTTTTCTATTGATTGGAATAGTTTCAGAAGGAATGGTACCAGTTCCTCCTTGTACCTCTGGTAGAATTTGGCTGTGAATCCATCTGGTCCTGGACTGTTTTTGGTTGGTAAGCTGTTGATTATTGCCACAATTTCAGATCCTGTTATTGGTGTATTCAGAGATTCAACTTCTTCCTGGTTTAGTCTTGGGAGGGTGTATGTGTCGAGGAATTTATCTATTTCTTCTAGATTTCCTAGTTTATTTGCGTAGAGGTGTTTGTAGTATTCTCTGATGGTCGTTTGTATTTCTGTGGGATCGGTGGTGATATCCCCTTTATCATTTTTTGTTGCATCTATTTGATTCTTCTCTCTTTTCTTCTTTATTAGTCTTGCTAGCAGTCTATCAATTTTGTTGATCCTTTCAAAAAAGCAGCTTCTGGATTCATTAATTTTTTGAAGGGTTTTTTATGTCTCTATTTCCTTCAGTTCTGCTCTGATTTTAGTTATTTCTTGCCTTCTGCTAGCTTTTGAATGTGTTTGCTTTTGCTTTTCTAGTTCTTTTAATTGTGATGTTAGGGTGTCAATTTTGGATCTTTCCTGCTTTCTCTTGTGGGCATTTAGTGCTATAAATTTCCCTCTACACACTGTTTTGAATGTGTCCCAGAGATTCTGGTATGTTGTGTCTTTGTTCTTGTTGGTTTCAAAGAACATCTTTATTTCTGCCTTCATTTCGTTATGTACCCAGTAGTCATTCAGGAGCAGGTTGTTCAGTTTCCATGTAGTTGAGCAGTTCTGAGTGAATTTCTTAATCCTGAGTTCTAGTTTGATTGCACTGTGGCCTGAGAGATAGTTTGTTATAATTTCTGTTCTTTTACATTTGCTGAGGAGAGCTTTACTTCCAACTATGTGGTCAATTTTGGAATAGGTGTGGTGTGGTGCTGAAAAAAATGTATATTCTGTTGATTTGGGGTGGAGAGTTCTGTAGATGTCTATTAGGTCCGCTTCGTGCAGAGCTGAGTTCAATTCTTGGGTATCCTTGTTAACTTTCTGTCTCGTTGATCTGTCTAATGCTGAGAGTGGGGTGTTAAAGTCTCCCATTATTAATGTGTGGGAGTCTAAGTCTCTTTGTAGGTCACTCAGGACTTGCTTTATGAATCTGGGTGCTCCTGTATTGGGTGCATATATATTTAGGATAGTTAGCTCTTCTTGATGAATTGATCCCTTTACCATTATGTAATGGCCTTCTTCGTCTCTTTTGATCTTTGTTGGTTTAAACTCTGTTTTATCAGAGACTAGGATTGCAACCCCTGCCTTTTTTTGTTTTCCATTTGCTTGGTAGATCTTCCTCCATCCTTTTATTTTGAGCCTATGTGTGTCTCTGCACGTGAGATGGGTTTCTTGAATACAGCACACTGATGGGTCTTGACTCTTGATCCAATTTGCCAGTCTGTGTCTTTTAATTGGAGCATTTAGTCCATTAACATTTAAAGTTAATATTGTTATGTGGGAATTTGATCTTGTCTTTATGATGTTAGCTGGTTATTTTGCTCGTTATTTGATGCAGTTTCTTCCTAGCCTCGATGGTCTTTACAGTTTGGCATGATTTTGCAGTGGCTGGTACCGGTTGTTCCTTTCCCTGTTTAGTGCTTCCTGCAGGAGCTCTTTTAGGGCATGCCTGGTGGTGACAAAATCTCTCAGCATTTGCTTGTCTGTAAAGGATTTTATTTCTCCTTCACTTATGAAGCTTAGTTTGGCTGGATATGAAATTCTGGGCTGAAAATTCTTTTCTTTAAGAATGTTGAATATTGGCCCCCACTCTCTTCTGGCTTGTAGAGTTTCTGCCAATAGATCCGCTGTTAGTCTGATGGGCTTCCCTTTGTGGGTAACCCAACCTTTCTCTCTGGCTGCCCTTAACATTTTTTCCTTCATTTCATCTTTGGTGAATCTGACAATTATGTGTCTTGGAGTTGCTCTTCTCGACGAGTATCTTTGTGGCGTTCTCTGTATTTCCTGAATCTGAATGTTGGCCTGCCTTGCTAGATTGGGGAAGTTCCCCTGGATAATATCCTCAGAGTGTTTTCCAACTTGGTTCCATTCTCTCCGTCACTTTCAGGTACACCAATCAGATGTAGATTTAGTCTTTTCACATAGTCCCATATTTCTTGGAGGCTTTGTTCATTTCTTTTTATTCTTTTTTCTCTAAGCTTCCCTTCATGCTTCATTTCATTCATTTCATCTTCCATCACTGATACCCTTTCTTCCAGTTGATGGCATCGGCTCCTGAGGCTTCTGCATTCTTCACTTAGTTCTCGAGCCTTGGCTTTCAGCTCCATCAGCTCCTTTAAGCACTTCTCTGTATTGGTTATTCTAGTTATACATTCGTGTAAATTTTTTTGAAACTTTTGAACTTCTTTGCCTTTGGTTTGAATTTCCTTCTGTAGCTCGGAGTAGTTTGATTGTCTGAAGGCTTCTTCTCTCAACTCGTCAAAGTCATTCTCCATCCAGCTTTGTTCCATTGTTGGTGAGGAACTGCGTTCCTTTGGAGGAGGAGAGGCGCTCTGCTTTTTAGAGTTTCCAGTTTTTCTGCTCTGTTTTTTCCCCATCTTTGTGGTTTTATGTACTTTTGGTCTTTGATGATGGTGATGTACAGATGGGTTTTTGGTGTGGATGTCCTTTCTGTTTGTTAGTTTTCCTTCTGACAGACAGGACCCTCAGCTGCAGGTCTTTTGGAGTTTGCTGGAGGTCCACTCCAGACGCTGTTTGCCTGGGTAACAGCAGTGGTGGCTGCAGAAGAGCGGAGTTTCGTGAACCACGAATGCTGCTGTGTGATCGTTCCTCTGGAAGTTTTGTCTCAGAGGAGTACCCGGCCGTGTGAAGTCTCAGTCTGCCGCTACTGGGGGGTGCCTCCCAGTTAGGCTGCTGGGGGGTCAGGGGTCAGGGACCCACTTGAGGAGGCAGTCTGCCTGTTCTCAGATCTCCAACTGCGTGCTGGGAGAACCACTGCTCTCTTCAAGGCTGTCAGACAGGGAGATTTAAGTCTGCAGAGGTTACTGCTGTCTTTTTGTTTGTCTGTGCCCTGCCCCCAGAGGTGGAGCCTACAGAGGCAGGCAGGCCTCCTTGAGCTGTGGTGGACTCCACCCAGTTGGAGCTTTCCGGCTGCTTTGTTTACCTAAGCAAGCCTGGGCAATGGCGGGCGCCCCTCCCCCAGCCTCGCTGCCGCCTTGAGCCTTGCAGTTTGATCTCAGACTGCTGCGCTAGCAATCAGCGAGGCTCCGTGGGCGTAGGACCCTCTGAGCCAGGTGCAGGATATAATCTCCTGGTGCGCCGTTTTTTAAGCCCCTCGGAAAAGCACAGTATTAGGGTGGGAGTGACCCAATTTTTCAGGTGGCGTCTGTCACCCCTTTCTTTGAGTACGAAAGGGAACTCCCTGACCCCTTGTGCTTCCCAAGTGAGGCAATGCCTCGCCCTGCTTCGGCTCGCGCACGGTGCACTGCACCCACTGTCCTGCGCCCACTGTCTGGCACTCCCTAGTGAGATGAACCCGGTACCTCAGATGGAAATGCAGAAATCACACGTCTTCTGTGTGGCTCATGCTGGGAGCTGTAGACCGGAGCTGTTCCTATTTGGCCATCTTGGCTTGATCTTAAAATGTATTTTCTAAAGCAAAGAATTTCAGCCAAAAATGATATTATTTTACATTTTCTTGCACACCTCTTTAATATCTGACTTGATAGAAGACAGCTGAATTGCCATATATGCCTCTGCATTAAATCTGTTGTGGTATATTGGTTTTGGGTAAAGTAGATGAAAAGAAATCCAGTTTCAAACATACATGTAGTTAGAAAAAGAGGAATATTTTCTAACCTTTTCAGACAATTTTACATAATATTCTTTAATACTACACAAAACTTCACAAGTATTAATTACTTAAAATTTATTTGCAGTGTGGAACCTGAAACTATATCAATGAATTTTTTTTTCTGTTATATTAAAATCCTTGGCCTATCTGCATTTTTAAAGGATCCTTTACTCATGCATGATTTTGTAACAACATACATTGGTCATTTGAAAAAAAAATCCCTTCAGTGAGTCAGTGAGTTATGTAAATCTTCCAAATGACAATTCCTTTTCTTACATGACATCAAAAACTCACATTTATTAATATCATCACCTATCTTATTGGGAAACATTTTAATATCGGAGGCTGTCAAGCTTTTGGTCATACATACAAGTTTTTCACAATTCTAATTTTTGCTTGACAGCTTAAATATAATTATTGACAACAAATACTGTGAATTATTTTCTTAAGTTTGTTTACTTTGTTAACTTTTGAGAAAATGTCAACCAAATAACAAAGTCTGAATAAGCATAGTTCATCTCTCAATTTAAATGGCATTCTGTGGAAAAAGTACATAGGTTAACCTACAACTCAGACAAACATACAAAAGCTTTTCCTTGAGGCCACTATTATATATTTGTATGCAGTACAAGCAATTTATACATCTTATTTTATAATAGAGATATTAAAAAATGCATACTTAAGGGTCACATTTGAATAAGAGCAATGATTTTTACCACTTCTTCAAAGACATTCTGATGTGAAACTGGCATTATTATTATTATTACTGCAGGTGCAGGGCGATGATAATTACAAAGACTACCAATACGTTTTGTTGCCACTATCTTGATTCATGCTAAGGCACTTTAAATCTTAATGTCAGTTTTTGTAAAACTGGCAAACAATTTCCACCTAGTGAACCCAATGAAAGGTCTTGGAGCTTTCCTGAAATGTAAACTACACCATGAGAATTTTTCTTTTTAAGTTACAATATGCATCCTTGATGTATCAAAAATCTATTTTGAAATAAGGTGACACCACTTTTTATCTAAGAAAATTGCAATGGTTTAATTTTATTCATTCCTCTTTTCCTGTATACATTATTGCTGTATTTTACTTATACTTACATTATAAGTTCCATAATACAATGTCATTTTTTTTTTGCTTTTAGCAGTCAATTGTCCTTTGAAGAAATTATGAAAAAGTCATCTTTTATTTTTACCCACATATTTACTACTTCTGACACTGTTGTTTTCTGTTTGTTTGTTTGTTTGTTTGTTTGTTGGGGTTTTGTATATAGGTCCTGATTTCTATCTGGCATCATATTCATTTAGCCTGAAGAACTTCTTTAACGACTTTCTATAGTGTACGTCTGCTGACAAATTTTCTCAGCATTTGTTTATCTATAAGGATCTCTATTTCACTTAACTAAGGTTATTTTTGTTGGGTATGTATTCTAGGTTGACTGTTTCTTTAAGCACTTTGAAGATACTTAAAAGACGGAATTCTATTGTCTTCTGGCTTCTGTTGTTTTTCATGAACTGTCAGATATCTTCTTATCATTGTCAAATATCTTCTTATCACATTTAGTATGTCTTTTCTCTCTGGCTATTCTTATGATGTTATCTTTATATTTGATTCTCACCAGATTGATTATGATGTTTCTTGGTGATATGACTTGGCTGTGTCCCAACCCACATCTCATTTGAATTCTCATGTGTTGTGGGAGGGACCTGATGGGAGGTAATTGAATCATGTGGGCAGGCCTTTCCCATGCTGTTCTTGTGATAGTGAATAAGACTCATGAAATCTGTTTAAAAGATGAGAGTTTCCCTGCCCAAGCTCTCTATCATTGCCTGCTGCCACCCATGTGAGACGTGACTTGCTCCTCCTTACTTTCCGCTATGATTATGAGGCCTCCCCAGCCATGTGGAACTGTGAGTCAATTAAACATCTTTCTTTTGTAAATCACCCAGTGTCAGGTATGTCTTATTGGCAGCATGAAAATGGTCTAATACAGTAAATTAGTACCAGTAGAGTTGGGCACTCTGAAATGATACCTGAAAATATGGAAGTGACTTCGGAACTGGGTAACAGGCAGAGGTTGGAACAGTTTAGAGGGCTCAGAAGGAGACAGAAAAATGTGGGAAAGTTTGTAACTCCCTAGAAACTAGTTGAATGGCTTTGACCAAAGTGCTGATAATGGTATGGACAATGAAATCCAGGCTGAGGTGGTCTCAGATGGAGATGAAAAACTTGTTGGGAACTGGAGCAAAGGTGACTGGTTATGTTTTAGCAAAGAGACTGTCAGCATTTTGCACCCTGCCCTAGAGATGCGTGGAACTTCCAACTATAGAGAGATTGTTTAGGGTATCCTTAGAATTTTCTAAGCAGCAAAGCATTCAAGAGGTGATTGGGTGCTGTTAAAGGCATTCAGTTTTAAAAGGGAAACAGAGCATTAAAGTTTGGAAAATTTGCAGCCTGACAATGCAATAGAAAAGAAAAACCCATTTTCTGAGGAGAAATTCAAGTCAATTGCAGAAATTTGCATAAGTAATGAGGAGCTCAATGTTAATCACCAAGACAATAGGGAAAATGTCTCCAGGACATGTCAGAGACCTTTGCAGCAGACTCTGTCATCAGAGGCCCAGAGGCTTAGGAGGAAAATATGGCTTCATGGGCCAGGCCCAGGGTCCCTCTGCTGTGTACAGTCCAGGGACTTGGTGCTCTGCATCCCAGCTGCTCTAGTTGTGACTAAAAGGGTCCAAGGTACAGCTCAGGCTATTGCTTCAGAGAGTGGAAGCCCCAAGCCTCAGCAGCTTCCACATGGTATTGAGACTGCAGTGCATAGAAGTCAAGAATTGAGGTTTGGGAACCTCTGCCTACATTTCAGAGGATGTATGGAAATGCCTGGATGCCCAGGCAGAAGTTTGCTGCAGGGACGAGGCCCTCATGGAGAACCTCTGCTAGGGCAGTGCAGAAGGGAAATGTGGGGTTGGAGCCCCGACACAGAGTCCCTGCTGGGGCACTGCCTAGTGGAGCTGTGAGAAGAGGGCCACCATCTTCCAGACCCTAGAATGGTAGATCCACTGACAGCTTCCACCATGCACCTGGAAAAGCTGCAGACACTCAACCCCAGCCTGTGAAAGCAGTTGGGAGGGAGGCTTTACCCAGCAAAGCCACAGGGGTGGAGCTGCCCAAGACCATGGGAACCCACCTCTGGCATCAGCATGACCTGGATGTGAGAAATGGAGTCAAGGAGATCATTTTGGAGCTTTAAGATTTGACTGCCCCGCTGGATTTTGGACTTACATGGGGCCTATAGCCCCTTCATTTTGGCCAATTTTTCCTATTTCGAATGGGTGTATTTACCCAATACCTGTACACCTATTATATCTAGGAAGTAACTAACTTGCTTTTGATATTATAGGCTCATAGGCAGAAGGGACTTACCTTGTCTTGGGTGAGACTTTGGGCTGTGAACTTTTGAGTTAATGCTGAAATAAGTTAAGACTTTGGTGGACTGTTGAGAAGGCATGATTGGTTTTGAAATGTGAGGACATGAGATTTGGGAGTGGCCAGGGGCAGAATGATATGGTTTGGCTGTATCTCCACCCAAATCTAATCTTGAATTCCCACATGTTGTGAGAAGGACCTGGTGGGAGGTAACTGAATCATGGGAGCACGTCTTTTCCATGCTGTTCTCATGATAGTGAATAAGTCTCACAAGATCTGATGGTTTAAGAAATGGGAATTTCCCCACACAAGCTCTCTCTCTTTGCCTGCTGCCATCCATGTAAGCTGTGAATCACTCCTCCTTGCTTTCCATCATGACTGTGAAGCCTCCCCAGCCATGTGGAACTGTAAGTCCATTAAACCTCATTCTTTTGTAAATTGCCCAGTCTCAGGTATGTCTTTATTGGCAGTGTGAAAATGGACTAATACACTTGGGTTGGGTTTTGAGTTTTTTGTTTGTTTCTTCTTCTATAAAATTGTTTTTAAATTGCTGGGATTAGCTTAGCTTGTTGGGTAACTGCCTTGGTGTTTTCCATAAAAGCTGAGAATTTTCTGCCATTATTAGTTTTTTCAGTTTCATTCTTGGTCTCTTCTCCTCTGGGACCCTAACTACATGTGTTACCACATTTCATATTGCCGCATGGGTCAGTGATGCTCTGTTTATCTTTTATCTTTCTTTCTTTTTCTTTCTGATTTTTTTCTTTATGTACTTCAGTTTGGATAATTTCTGTTGTCCTGTATTCGATCTCATGAATTTTTGAATGTTTTCTACTATGACCAACCAGCCATTAGGCTCAATATGAAACATTTTGTTTCTCATATTACATTTTCATTACAGACTTTCAATCTGGTTGTTTTGTTGGAGTGTTATTTATTTTTTATTTATTTATTTTTTTTAGATGGAGTTTGCTCTTGTTGCTCAGGCTGGAATGCAATGGCATGATCTCAGCTTACTGCGACCTCTGCCTCCCAGATTCAAGTGATGCTCTGCCTCAGCCTCCTGAGTAGCTGGGATTACAGGCGTGCACTGCCATGCCTGGCTAATTTTTGAATTATTAGTAGAGATGGGGTTTCACCATGTTGGTCACGCTGGTCTTGAACTCCCTACCTCAGGTGATGTACCCACTTCAGCCTTCCAAAGTTCTGGGATTACAGGCATGAGCCACCATGTCTGGCCTAGAGTGTCCACTTTCTTTACAGAAATTTCTGAGTTCATTGATTCGACTTATATTTAAAATATAAAAAAATCTTTATTATATTTATAATAGTCATTTAAAACACTTGCCTGCAAATTTCAATGGTTAGGTCTTCTGTGTTTCTCCTTGTATTTACTATTTCTCTTTACTATATTTCATGTCTTTTTTCTTCTGCCATGTCTCATATTTAATGTATGCTGGATTTTGCAAAAATAGCAGTAAAGACTGATGTTAAACCTTCTTTCTGTTAAGTTTTGTTTTGTTTCCCAAATTAGACTGACTCTATTTCTACTTTCAAGTGGGTTCTGCCCTATCCAGATTTTCCCATGTTCTGCAGAGGGTTGAATCTCTTAGATCTGTCAGAAGTTCAGCTGAGAGGGAAATAGATTACAGTTCTGCCTAGTTTTGACTCACTTTTGAATTCAACTTCAATAGAGCCATAGGTACAAATATCACAAGTGTATGCAAGATTGAACACTTTTCACTTTCGAACCCTACTTCTACTGTTTTCTTATAAACATCCATGAAGAAGAGAAAAATGCTTAAAATGAAGGTTTTATTTCTATATTTGTGACTTTTCTAGATTCCATTATTTCATGCTGCCATGTTTTAGTTAAAAGCCTGGCTGGTAATATCTGAACTACATAAAAAATTCAGGAAAAAAATTAAATCAAGTAAAAAGCATTGTTCTGCCATTTAGGCATGTGAGGTACCTCTACTGTTTGACAACTCTTCCTTCCTATATGTGACATTTCCCTCATCACTTTTCTATATAGGTAAGAGTTTATTTTTTAAAATATGAATTTGATTAAGCCCCATACAAGCATCCCTCACATGGTGTGCTATGCATAGCTTTCAGTCTTCATGATTTAGTTGAATAACCCCAGTCTCTCAACAGCACAGATCAAATATCAGTCATTATGGCATATTAATTATGAGTAATAATATAAATTTTGCTGCTAGATATCCAATCTACAAATCACTACATAAGTAACAGATGTGTATGATGATCAGTGACCAAGTATGTCACTTCTTTCAAAGTCTGTCAGTGGTTAGTCACTCCTCATGTGTTATGCAATTCATTCACAGACAGGAAAGTTTGTAGTTGCCTCCTTGTCTCCCAGTGATAAACCCATGTAAAATTTTACCAAAAAGAAAATGGATAACTGAAAGAAGAAACTGTGAAACAAAGATAAAAGTACACCAATGAGTAAAAAAGTGACAATGCTGGAAATGAAATTGGAAGTGAATATAAATGTGAGTTATAGAAGAAATAGCTGACCTTGGTCTCCATACTGTTTTCCACATTTGGTGCATCATTTTACATTCCCACCAACAGTATACAGGGTTCTCATTTCTTCACATCTTTCCCAACTTGTGATACAGTTTGGATATTTGTCTCCTCCAAATCTTATATTGAAATTTGATCCCTAATGTTTGGATTATGGGCATGAATCCCTCATGAATGTCTTAATATCATTCATTGGTGCCATACCAATGGCTTGGTAATGAATGAGTTCTCACTTGATTAGTTCCTGTGAGAACTAAAAAGACTTCCTTTTCTCTCTCTTTCCTCCTCTCTTGTCATGTGAAGTCTGCTCCCTAAACACCACCACCACTTTCTGCTATGAGCGGAAACTTCCTGAGACCCTCACCAGAAGCAGATGTTGATGCCATGCTTCTTGTACAGCCTGCAGAATTATGACCAAATCAACCTTTTTTAAAATAAATTACCCACTCTCTGATATTTCTTTATAGCAACACAAATGGACTAAGACAACTACTTATCTTTTTTAAATAATAGCTATCCTAACAGATATGAGGTGATATCTCATTGTAGTTTTCATTAGCACTTCCCTAATAACAAATTGTGTTGAGCATCTTTTCACATCCCCAGTGGCCATTTGTATGTCTTCTTTGGAAAATGAATCTGGAGGACATTATGCTAAGTGAAATAAGCTGGTCACACAAGGACAAGTACTGCATGATTCCACTTATATTAGATATCTAAAATAGTCAAAAACATAAAAGTGCAGAATACAATAGTGGTTACCAGAGGCTGGGAGGTGTGGAAAGTGGGGAGCTATTGTTCAATGTGTATAAAGTTTCAGTTATGCTAGATGAATACGTTCTAGAGATCTTCTGTACATTATAGTGCTTATTGTTAACAGCATGCTATTGTGAACTTTAAAATTTAAGAAGGTAAATTTCATGTTAAGTGTTCTTACCACAAAAAAATGACACTTCAGGAGGTGTTGAATATGTCTATTACTTTGATTATGGAGATGGTAGCATGGGTGTTTGCACACATCCAAATTCATCAAGTTGTACAAATTAAATATGTGCAATTCTTTGTATACAAATTATACCTCAACAAAGCTGTTAAAAACATTTAAAAACAGCACCATACCTGTGGAGATGTAAACAAACAGAAAAAAAGGAAAATAAGGGGTATGACAATTCACCAAGCTTTTAAAAATTGCATGTTCCATATCATAATTTATATGGTGAGCAAAAAAACAGGCAAGTACAATACAAGTTACATTTAAGCTGTTTACAAAGAAATAAAACACTTTAATTCAAAATATCCCTAGTGTTCTAAATTGTAATGTACTAAATAAATATTAGTTTTACTATGTTTTTATTTCCTAAACATTTATAACTGACAGCATGTAAGATTTTATGGTTTTGAAACAAATTGTAAAGGTCACAAAGCAATTGTAATTTTCCCCATAAATTATTAAGATTATTTTGTAAGGTTTTAGTTTTTGTGTTTTAGTTTAGTTTTTTGTAGGATTTTAGTTTTCATTTTGATGGTCCCACACTATCATGTAAAGTCAACACTGCCTTTGTGTGTCTCCTACCTGTGCAAAATCTTTACTTATTCCAGTTAGTCAAATGTGAACTTTTGTGATATTTAAATCTGATACTAACAGAGCCAAGATCTCATACTTGAATATTAATTTGGTTTCTAATAATTTAGTTTTTTAAATGACTGGGGCCTTATTAATTCTCTAGCCACACAAATCATGCTACTCCTTCCTTCACTTACCATGCCCCAAAGAGTCTTTTATTGTTTGGACACATTTGTCCTTTCATATCTGAGGCCTTTACATTGGGAGTGCTTCCTTCTGCCTGGTATGCTTCTGAAATCTCTTTTAACCTCATTAATCTCATTCAACTTTCAGGTCTTAGGTTAAATATCATGTTCCCAAATCTTCCAATATTAGGTCTTCCTCTTGCAATATCTCTCAGTATATATTATAATTTCTTCTATGTGCTTATCAAAATTTGTGTTTATATGTGTGGTTATTTATTTAATTTATCTCCACTAAATTATGAGCTCCATACCTGAATAGATGAATACCGTCTGTTTTGTTGACTTTTACATCTCCAATGCCAAACACAGTGTCTGCTTAAAACTAAATGCTAAGTAAATATGTGGTCAATTAATGGGTTAATAAATACGTGCTAAAGAAATATACAAATCGGAAAAACTAGAAATATGCTAGGATAAAGTGATACTTATCCCAGCAAATAAAAGCATGGTTTGTTGGGGAAAACACTAGGTTAGGATTTTGAGATCCTGGTTTTGATTCCAGTATAATCCTTTGACTTCCATTGTCCAGCTGCTCCTCCTGCTCTATGAGCCTTTGACCAACCTCATCACTCTCATAATTCAACTATGTTTTCCATGTTGATCACTTCAAAATCTTTGTCTCCAGCCACAGTTATCTCCTATCTATAGACCTATATATGCAGTTGGTCTTCTGGGCATCTCCACATCAGTACCCCACAAACACCTTTACATGCAACAAATCCTAAATGAAACATTTCTATCCAAATCCTGCTTCTTCTCCTGAAATTCCTAACTCTTTTATTGCAAACATTATTTAGTTTGTCAATAAGTTATGAATCTGGAAGTCATTTTATTACTCTACAAATCTAGTCAGTCACCAAGACCCACCAAGTTCACCCCTAAAATCTCACAAACCCACTCCTTATTCCCCAGACCTATCATCACTTACCTAGCTCAACCCTCTTCATTTTTGCCTGGACTGATTTTGTCCCTTTTATTCCTGTCTTTTATGCCTATTCTCCTCACAGATATTGCAGTGATTTTAATATGCTACTTCTATGTATTTTTTTTCTCCTATCCTTCCTTTGTTGCTTAAGAATCTTAGGAAAGTTGAAGAACCTTAGGATATTTTTGCTTCATTCTCACAATGCCTATATGTACTATGAATGGAGGAAATATGAGCCCAGGTTACGTACTATAATTGTTATAAATACTTATATATAAGTTACTTCTTTTCCACATTTCACAATTTCTCCTCACTTATCCCCGTCTGAGGCCATTACAGCTTGTTTTCTTTTTTCTTTTTAATTATACTTTAAGTTCTAGGGTACTTGTGCACAACGTGCAGGTTTGTTACATATGTGTACATGTGCCATGTTGGTGTGCTGCACACCCATTAACTCGTCATTTACATTAGGTATATCTCCTAACGCTATCCCTCCCCCATCTCCCCCCACCCCATGACAGGCCCCGGTGTGTGATGTTCCCCTTCCTGTGTCCCAAGTGTTCTCATTGTTCAGTTTCCACCTATGAGTGAGAACATGCAGTGTTTGGTTTTCTGTGCTTGCGATAGTTCGCTGAGAATGTTGGTTTTCAGCTTCATCCATGTCCCTACAAAGGACATGAACTCATCATTTTTTATGGCTGCATAGTATTCCATGGTGTATATGTGCCACATTTTCTTAATCCAGTCTATCATTGTTGGACATTTGGGTTGGTTCCAAGTCTTTGCTGTTGTGAATAGTGCTGCAATAAACATACGTGTGCATGTGTCTTTATAGCAGCATGATTTATAATCCTTTGGGTATATACCCAGTAATGGGATGGCTGGGTCAAATGGTATTTCTAGTTCTAAATCCCTGAGGAATCACCACACTGTCTTCCACAATGGTTGAACTAGTTTACATTCCCACCAACAGTGTAGAAGTGTTCCTATTTCTCCACATCCTCTCCAGCATCTTTTTCCTGACTTTTTCACCATTCTAACTGGTGTGAGATGGTATCTCATTGTGGTTTTGATTTGCATTTCTCTGATGGCCAGTGATGATGAGCATTTTTTCATGTGTCTGTTTGCTGCATAAATATCTTCTTTTGAGAAGTGTCTGTTCATATCCTTCGCCCACTTTTTGATGGGGTTGTTTGTTTTTTGCTTGTAAATTTGACATAATTTTGAAGCCAAAGAACACAATGACTGAATTAAATCTAATAGGGAACTTCAACAGCAGACTAGAACAAGAAGAATAAAACATAAATAAACCCAGAGATAGAGAGAGATAGATAGAACAAGAAGAATAAAAAATAAATAAACCCAGTCAGAGGATGATTTATAATTATTTTTCTTTTCAGAAAAAAGAATGAAGAAAGCCTGTTTAATCTATGGGCACCATCAAAAGAATTAAATTTGTATTACAGAATTTCTACAAGGAGAAGAGAAACAAAATGACAGAAAGCTTATTTAAAATATAGAGGCTGAAAACTTCCCAAATCTAGGGAACAATGTAAACATCCAGGTATATAAAGCTCAAAAGTCTTCAATTCATTCACCCTAAAGAAGACCTCACCAAAACATAGTATGATTGACCTGTCAAAAATCAAAGACACTCAGAAATAAAGCCACAAACCTACAACCGTCTGATCTTTGACAAGACCAACAAAAACAAGCAATGGGGAAAGGACTCCCTATTCAATAAATGGGGCTGGGTAACCAGATAGCCATATAGGAAAGACTGAAGCTGGACCCCTGCCTTTCATCATATAAAACATTAACTCAAAATTAAAGAGAGGCTGAGCATGGTGTCTCACACCTGTAATCTCAGCACTTTGGGAGGCCACAGTGGGCAGATTGCCTGAGGTCAGGAGTTCAAGACCAGCCTGGCCAACATGGCAAAACCCCATTTCTACTAAAAATACAAAAATTAGCTGGGCATGGTAGTCCAAGCCTGTAATCCCAGCTACACAGGAGGCTGAGGCAGGAGAATTGCTTGAACCCAGGAGACGGAAGTTGCTGTGAGCCAGGATTGCGCCACTCCACTCCATCCTGGGCATCAAAGGGAGACTCCATCTCAAAAAAATGAAAAAAATAAAAATTAAAGATTTAAATGTAGGATCTCAAATTATAAAAATTCAAGAACACAGCCTCAGAAATACTCTCAACATCAGCCTTGGCAGAGAATTTTTGGCCAAGTCTCCAAAAGCAATTTCAATAAAAACAAAAATTGACAAGTGGGACTGTATTGATCCCTTCTTGCACTGCTATAAAGAAATGCCTGAGACTGGGTAATTTATAAAGAAAAGAAGTTTAATTGGCTCACAGTTCAGTAGGCTGTACAGGAAGCATGATGCTGGCATGTGTTTCTGGGGAAGTCTCAGGAAACTCTGAATCATGGTGGAAAGCAAAGGAGAAGCAGGCAAGTCTTACATGCATGGCCAGAGCAGGATAAAGAGAGAGAGAGGGGAGAAGTGCTACACACTTTTAAACAATCAAATCTCCTGAGCACTCTATCAAAAGAACAGTACTAAAGGAATAGTGCTAAACCATTCATGAAGGATTCACTTTTGTGATCCAGTAACCTTCCATCAGGCCCTGCCTCTAACACTGGTATTACAACTAACCATGAGATGTGGGTGTGGACACAGATCGTAACCATATCATTCTGCCCCTGGCCCCTCCAAAATCTCCTGTCTTTCTTCCATTTCCACATACAATCATGACTTCCCTATCATCCCCCAAAGTGTTAACTCATTCTAGCATTAACTCAAAAGTCCAAGGTCCACAGTCTCTTCTGAGACAAGACTAGTTCCTTCTGCCTATGAGCTTATAAAATAAAAAACAAGTTAGTTACTTCCACAATACAATGGGAGTATAGGCATTGGATAAATACTACCATTCCAAAAGGGAGAAATCAGCTGTAAGAAAGGGACTACAGTCCCCATGCAAGTCCAAAACACAGCAGGGCAGTCATTAAATGTTAAAGCTCCAAAATAATCTCCTTTGACTCTCTGTCTCACATCCAGAGCATACTGGTGCAAGAAGTGGGTTCCCAGGTTTTGAGCAGCTCTCCGACTGTGGCTGCTGTCATGAGCTGGTGTTGAGAGTGCTTGTGTCTTGTGGTGTTGGTGCAAATTGTCAGTGGCTCTACCATTCAAAGGTCTGGAGGACGGTGGCCCTCTTCTAACAGTTCCACTAGGCAATGCCCCAGTGAGGACTCTGTATTGGGGCTGCAGTCCCACATTACCCATCTTCAGTACCCTAGTAGATGTTCTCTATGAGGGCTCCACTCCTGTAGCAGGCTTCTGCCTGGTCATCCAGGCTTTTCCATACGTCTTCTGAAATTTAGGCAGAGACTTTCAAGCCTCAGCTCTTGCACTCTCAACACCTGCAGACTTAGCACCATGTGGAAGCTGCCAAGGCTTATAACTTGCACCCTCTGAAGCAGCAGCCTGAGCTATACCTGGGTCCCTTTGGGCCACGGCTGGAGCTGAAGCAGCTTGGATGCAGGGACCAGTGTCCCAAGGCTGTTCAGAGTGGCAGGGTCCTGGGCTAGCCCATGAAACCATTCTTCCCTTCCAGACCTCCAGGCCTGTGATGGGAGGGGCTGCCACAAAGGTCTCTGAAATGCCTTGGAGGCCTTTTCCCCATTGTTTTGGTTATCAGCATTTGGCTTGCTTTTAGTTATGCAAATTTCTGCAGCCTGCTTGAATTCCTCCTCTGAAAATGGGTTTTTTCTTTTCTACCACATGGCCAAGCTGCAAATTTTCCAAACTTTTATGTTTTGCTTCCCTTTTAAATATAAGTTCCAGTTTCAGGCCATTTATTTGCTCATGCATATGAGCATAGGTGGTTGGAAGCAACCAGGCTACATCTTGAACATGCTGCTAAGAAATTCCACCAAATGCCCTAAATTATCTCTCCCAAGTTCAAAGTTCCACAGATCCCCAGGGCAGGGGCAAAATGCAAAGAAAAAGAAAAAAGAAAAGAAAAGAAAACTGTCAACAGAGTAAATGGACAACCTACAGAATGAGAGAAAATATTCACAAACTGTCCATCTGACAAAGGCCTGATATCAAGAATCTATGCAGAACTTAAGTCAAAAAGCAAAGAGCAAGTAATCTCATTATAAATGAGCAAAGGACATGAACAGACACTTCTCAAAAGAAGACATATGAGTGGTTAACAAACCTATAAAAAATGTTCAGTATCACTAATCATTAGAAAAATGCAAATCAAACCCACAATGAGATACCATCTCACGCCAGTCAGAATGGCTATTCAAAAGTCAGAAAACAACAGATGTTGGTGAAACTGCTGAAAAAAAGGGAATGCTTATACACTGTTGGTGAGAATGTAAATTAGTCCAGCCACTGTAGAAAACAGCCTTGAGATTTCTCAAAGTACTTAAAACAGAGCTATCATTCAACCCAGCCATCCCATTAATGGGTATATGTCCTAAGTAAAATAAATCATTCTACCAAAAGGATATATGCACTCATAAATTTATTGCTGCATTATTCACAATAGCAAAGACCTGGAATCAACCTAGATGCCCATCAGTGATAGATTGGATAAAGACAATGTGGCACATATATAACATGGCATACTACAGAGCCATAAAACAAAAACAAAAAAATCCTTTACAGCAGCATAAATGCAGCAGGAGGCCATAATTCTAAGCAAATTAATGTAAGAACAGAAAACCAAACACCACATGTTCTCACTTATAAGTGAGAGCTAAACATTGAGCACACATGTACATAAATATGGGATCAATAGACACTGTAGGCTACTGGGGATGTAGGTTAAAAAGGGGGCTTAAAAAACTACCTATGAAGGTACTATGCTCACTACCTGGGTGAAAAGATTCACACCCCAAACCTCAGCATCATTCATTATCCCCATGTAACTAACCTGTATCCCCTGTAACTTAAGTAAAAGTTGAAATTTTTTTAAAAATCAGTGATAAAGAATTCTGTAAGCAGCAAGAAAAAATAAGCACATGATATACACAGAAACTTGAGTAAGGCAATTAGTGAATTTCTCAGCAGAAAATTCGCAGACCAGGGTAGAGTGAGATAATACATTCAAACTGTTGAAAGCAAAAACTGCCACTCAAGAATACTTTACCTGGCAAAGCTGTCCTTCTCATATGAGGGAAAAAGGAAGTATTTTCCAGATTTACAAAAAATAGCTGAGATAGTTGATTATCACTAGACCTGCCTTACAAGAAGTGCTAAAGGGAGTTCTTCAATCATAAATGAAAGGTTGCTAATTATTATCATAAAAACATAAATGTAGAAAACTCCTTGGTAAAAGTAAGTACAAAGTCAAATTCAGAATACTTCATTTTTTTTTTTTTTTGACAAAGTCTTGCTCTTGTTGCCCAGGCTAGAGTACAATGGCACGATCTTGGCTTGCCACAACCTCCACCTCCTGGGTTCAAGCGAATCTCCTGCCTCAGCCTCTCGAGGGGCTGGGATTACAGGTATGCACCACCACACCCAGCAAATTTTGTATTTTTAGTAGAATCGGGGTTTTTCCTTGTTGGTCAGGCTGGTCTCAAACTCCTGACCTCAGGTGATCCACCTGCCTTGGCCTCCCAAAGTGCTGGGATTACAGGCATGAGCCACCGCACCTGGTCTAGAATACTTTAATATTTTTAATATTTTAATAATGGTATGTAAATTATGTATAACTAATATGAAGGTTAAAAGACAGAAGTATTATTACAAAAACCTCAGCTATAATAACTTGTTAATTTTTATACAAAGATGTACAGTATGACATCTAAAACATAAAACACTTGGGAAAGTAAAACTAGATTTTATGTACACAATTGAAGTTAAGTTGCTATCAGCTTAAAATAGTCTGGTATAACTATAGGAGGTTTTATGTCAGCTTAATTATAACCACAAAGCAAAAGCATATAGCAGACACACAGTGAACAAGAGAAAATAATCAAAGCATACCACTCCAAAATAATACACGTTATTTTACAATGAAAATGAGCAAGAAATAAAAAAAAAAAACAAAGGATCTACAGTACACACAGAAAACAATTTTCTTTTTTTTTTTTGAGACGGAGTCTCACTCTGTCGCCCAGGCTGGGGTGCAGTGGCGTGATCTCGGCCCACTGCAAGCTCTGCCTACCAGGTTCATGCCATTCTCCTGCCTCAGCCTCCAGAGTAGCTGGGACTACAGGCACCCGCCACCATGCCTGGCTAATTTTTTGTATTTTATCAGAGACAGGGTTTCACCATGTTAGCCTGGATGGTCTCAATCTCCTGACCTCATGATCCACCTGCCTCGGCCTCCCAAAGTGCTGGGATTGCAGGCGTGAGCCACCACTCCCGGCCCCAGAAAACAATTTTTAAAATGGCAATAGTAAATCCCTACCTGTTAATAATTACTTTAAATGTAAATAGACTAACCTCTATCAAAAAACATAAAGTGGCTGAATGGACTTTTTTTAAAAAAGACCCAACTGTCTGTTACCTACAAGAGACTTATTTCACATACAGAACATTCCATCTAACTGCAGCATATAACACATTTCTTTTCAAGAAAACATGGAACATTCTCCAGAATAGATTATAGGTTAGACCATAAAACAAGCCTTAACAAATTTTAAAAGATTAAAATACTATCAAGTATCTTTTCTGACTATAATGGTATAAAAGTAAAAATCAATAATAGAAGGAATTTCAGAAAATACATAAATATATGGAAGTTAAACAATATACTCTTTAACAACAAGTGGGTCAAAGAATAAATCAAAGAAGACATTTAAAAATATTTTTAGACAAATGAAAGTGAAAATACAATGTACCAAAACCTATGGGATTATGCAAAAGCAGTTCTAAGAGGGATATCTGTAATAAATGCTTACATAAAAAAGAAGAAAGGTCTCAAAAAACACAACAACTTAGCATTAAACCTGATAGAATCAGGAAAAGAGGAACAACTAAGCCTAAATTTCATAGAATGAAGGAAATAAAGATTAGAGCATAAATAAATAGAGACTAGAAAAGATTACAAAACTAACTTGGATCTTGAAAAGATAAAATTGACAAACCTTTAGCTAGACTGAAAAAGGAGCAAAGATTCAAATATTTCTAACAAACATTAATATTTCTAATGAAATGTTTCTCATGAACATTAATGCAAAAATCCTCAACAAAATAGTAGCAAACCATTATTCAACAACATTTCAAAAAATGATACATTATGATCAAGTAGGATTTATCCCTGGGATGGAAGTTTGGCTTCACATATGCAAATCAATCAATGTAATACACCACAGCAACAGAACAAAAAGCCACATGATCATCTCAATACATCAAGAAAATACATATCAAAAAGTTCAACACCCTTTCTTGATATAAACTCTCAAAAATTTAGATATAGAAGAAATTTTTTCTCAAATTATCACAGCCATTTATAAAAAATCCAAAGCTGACATAATAATCAGTGGAGACAACATTAAAGCTTTTTTTTAAGATCCAATACAAGGTAAGAATGCCTTCTATTGCCATTTCTATTCAACATGCACTGAAAGTACTAGTAAGAACAATCAGACAAGAAAAGAAAATAAGAGTATCCAAATCTGAAAAGAAGAAATAAATATCTTTATTTGTAGATGACATGAGCTTATATGTAGAAAACCTTAAAGATACCACCAAAAAACTGTTAGACCTACAAAATGAATTCAATAAAGTTACAAGATACAAAATTAACATTAAAAAACTCAGTTGCATTTTTTACTCCAATAATGACTTACCTCAAAATGAAAGTTTTTAAAGTCTCAGTTACAATAGCATCAAAAAGAATAAAAAATTTTGAAATGAATCTAAATAAGGAAATGAAAGACCTGTACACTGAAAACTATAAAACATGAATCAAAAAATTGAACATGATATAAATAAATGAAAAGATATTTCATGATAATAGATTTGGAATAATTAATATTGTAAAAATGCCCATACTACTCAAAACAATCTACATATGCAAAGCATACTTCATCATCATTCCAATAATATTTTCCACAGAAATGAAAAAAAATTCTAACATTTATATGGAACCACAAAATACTCCACAAAATGTATACAGAATCACAAAATACTGCACAAGAGCCAAATAAATGTTAAGGAAAAAAAGGTTGGAAGCATTACATTCCTTAATTTCAAATTATACTACAAAGCTATAGTATTCAAAGAGTATGGTACTGGCATAAAAACAGACACATAGACTAATGGAACGGATTTGAGAGCCCCAAAGTAAACCCAAGCATATATGGTCAACTAATTTTTAACAGGGATGCCAGGAATACAAAATTGAAATTAGATTAGTCTCTTCAATAAATGGTGTTAGGACAACTAAATATATACATGAAAAAGAATGAAACTATATGTTTATCTTATACACAAAAATCAACTTAAAATAAATTGAAGACTTATAAATAAGATCTGAAACTAACATTTCTAAAGGACATTGGAAAAAGCTCTTGACTTTGGCCTAGGCAGTAATATTTTTGGATATCACACCAAATGCTTAGACAACAAAAGCAAAAGTAAACTATATCAAACTAAAAAGCTTCCATATAGGAAACAATCAACAAAATGCAAAGGCAACCTATGAACTAATAGAATATTTTCAAACTATATATCTGAAAAGGGACTAATACTCAAAAATATGTAAGTAATTCACATGACTTGATAGAAAATAGTAATAATAACCTGATTTTAAAATGGGCAAATGACTAGAATAGACAGTTTTCCAAAGAAGACATTAAAAATGGTCAACAGGCCTATGAAAATGTACTCAACATCACTAATTATTAGGGTAATGCAAATTATAACTACAATGAGGTATCACCTCACACCTTTTAGAATGACTATTATCAAGAAGACATGATAACAAATATTGGCAAGGATGTGGAAAAAAGAGTCCTTATACTCTATTGGTAGTAATGTAAATTGGCACAGCCATTATGGAGAACACTAAAGAAGTTCTTCAGAAAAAGTGAAACAGAACTATCATAGGACTCAGCAATCCCTTTTCTAAATATATACACAAAGGAAATGAAATCAGCACCTTTTGGAGATATTTGCACTCTCTTGGTCATCACAGCATTATTCACAATAGCCAAGACATGGAAACAACCTAAGTTTGCATGGATAGATAAAAGGCTTAAGAAAATTATGGTGTATATGAACAATGAAATATTAGCCAGCCTTTAAAAAGAAGGATATTCTGTGTTTTGTGAACACATGAATGAACCTGGGGTGAGTTATGCTAAGTGAAATAAGCCGGGCACTGAAAGAAAAAGACAGCATGATCTCACTTATATGTAGAATCTAAAAAAACCTTAAATACATAGAAACAGAGTAGAAAGGTGGTTATCAGATATGGAGACAGTAGGGGAAATAAGGAAATATAGGTTGAAGAGTAAAAAGTTGCAGTTATGTCAAATGAATATGTAGAGATCTAATGTATAGCATGAGGAGGACAATAGTTAATAATATTGTGTACTCTACATTTGCTATGAGAGTAGATTTTACATGCTCTTAACCGCAAAAAAGACCTATGTGACATAATGAATATGTTCATTTGCTTGGTTGCAGTAACCATTTCACTGTTTATAAGTGTATCAAAACATCATGTGGTACACCTTAAATATACACCATTTAGAAAGGGGAAAAATTATAAAAAAAGAAAGACATACCACATGCCCAATACATTCATGGAAAAAGGCCCAACATCACTAATCATTAGAGAAATAAATTAAAATCACAATGAAACAGATGGATAGTATAAGACCAAAGATTAAACTCTTGAAAGAATCAAAAGGAAATGCCAGATATAAAAAACATGTAACCAAAGTGGAGAATGCTTTTGATGAACTCATTGCATTACACTGGGCATGGCCAAGAAAAATAATCAGTGAGCTAGAGGACAATGCAATAGAAACTTCCCTAATGAAAATGGGCAAATAAATAAATAAGAGAGAGAGAGAGAGAAAATAATGAAAATCAAAAAGAGAGAACATTCAACATATAAAGAAAAAAATTAAAAGGTACAACATACTTATAATTGGCATCCCATAAGGAGAAAAGAGAGAACAGAATTAGGAGAAATATATAAATAATGGCTAAGAACTTTTCAAAATTAATGACAGACACCAAACCACAAATATAGTAAACTCAAAGAATAACAAACATGATTAAATGCCAAAACAAATGAGAACAAACAAAACCCTAGAAAAATCATTACCAAACTGAAGAAAACTAGAGACAAAATGTTAAGAGGCCAGAGTTGTATACACATATACATAAGCACTCACACACACACACACACACACACACACACAAATACACACACTTCATTACCCAAGGAGGAACAATAACTTAATTACAGTATACTTCTCACCAGAAACCGTGTAACTGAGACAAGAATAATATAAAATTTCCAAAATGTTGTAGAAAAGTAACACCAACCAAGAATTTTAAACCCAATAAAATAATCTTTTTAAAGTGAAAAAACAAAAGATTTTTCAGAGAAACATAGCTGAGTAAGTTAAATACCAGTAGCCTACTCCAGCAAGAAATGTTAAAAAGAAGTTCTAAAGGGAATAGAAGACAGTGTAGAATATATAGTGCAGAAATTGAAAGCTCCATAAATAAAGAAGGTTGTCGATGGAAGAAATGTTGATTGTTTTAAAAAACCAAACAAAATTATAATGAGACATCATCTTAACACCTGCTAAAATGGCTATGATCAACAAGATAAGTGATAAATTTGAGCAAAAATGTAGAGAAAAAGAAACCCTTGTCTACCGTGGTTGGAAATGTAAATTAGTACAGACATGGGAAACAGTAGGGAGGTTTCTTAAAAATTTTTAAATAGAATTACTGTATGATCCAACAGTCCCACTTCTGAACATATATCCAAAGTAAATAAATTTAGGATCTTAAAGAGATAGCTTCACTCCCATGTTCGTTGCAGCAGTATTCACAATAACCAAGATATGGAATTAACGTAAGTGCCCATCAATGAATTAATGGGTAAAGAAATGTGATTTTATATATATATATATATATATATATTCAGCCTTTCAAAAGAAGAAAATTCTGTCAATACAGATAAACCTGGAGGATATTAATGTTAAGTGAAAAATACCAGGCACAGAAAAACAAATACTGCATGATTGCACTTACAGGTGGAATCTAAAAAAGTCAATGTCATAGAAGCAGAGTTCAGAATATGGTTGCCAGGGGCTGGGCAATGGGGAAGTGAGAATGGGGAGATATTGGTTAGAGAGTATAAATTTTTGCTTACGATGAATAAGTTCTAGATATCTGTTGTACAGCATGATGGCTATAATTAATAATAACATTGTGTAGTTGAAAATTGCTAAGACAGCACATCTTAAATATTTTCACCACAAAAAGTTAAGTATGTGAAGTGATGAATATAATGCTTGATGTGATTTAATCATTTCATAATGTATACACATATCAAAACATCACATTTGGCTTCTTGTGGCCAAGATGGCCAACTAGAAGCAGCTAGTCTGTGTGGCTCACAGGAACAAAAGGGGAGAGTAAATACAGCATATTCAACTGAAACATCCAGGTACTGTCATTGAGACTAATCAAGGAAACAACTTGACCTACAGAGAATGAAGAAGATCAAGACAGAACAACAGCCCACCCGGTAACAACAGAGAGCCAGGGGAACATCCCCTACCCAGGGAAGTGGTGAGTGAATGTGCAACCCCAGGAAACCGTGCTTCTCCCACAGATCTTTGCAATCCTGAGGTTAGGAGATCTCCTTGTGAACCTGCTTTACCAGGGCCTTCAGTCTGACAGACAGAGCTGTGTGAAGTCTCAGCAGATCAGCTGCTCAGGAATGCGTGGAGACCCTGGAGCCTTAGATACTCAGGCTTTCCAGCCTGCAGGCCCCACTTCTGCAGCACCTCACAAGATAAGACCCACTAGCTTGGAATTCCAGCCAGCCACCAGTAGCAGCATTGCACCTCCCTAAGACGGAGCTCCCTATGGGAGGGACAGGCCAACATGTTTGCTCTTTGGGCACCTCAGCCATTCCAGCCTTTAGTCTTTGAGAGTCTGAGCTGACCAGGGGTGGAAGGGATTCTTCAGCATAAAACAGCTGCTGCACCAAAACGTGGCCAGACTACTGCTTTAATTGGGTGCCAAATCCCATTCCTCCTCCTTACTGAGAAGGACATCTCAACCAGGTACTGTAGCTACCCACCTCTCATGTTCTCCAGCCAACAGATTTGGATTCTCCCTGGGACAGCACCCTCAGAGGGAGGGGTGGACTATCATCTTTGCTATTGGGCCAACTTAGCCAATCTAGCCTTCAGACTTTGGAGAGTCTGAGCTAACCAGGGATGGAAGGGATCTCCCATCACAGCACAGCTGCCCTACCAAAACGTGGCCAGACTGCTCCTTTAAGTGGGTTTCTGATTCCACCCCTCCTCACTGGGTGGGAGCTCCCATCCAGGGCCCTCAGCCACCACTGTCAGTGTTTTCTGGCCAACAGAGAATTATAACCTCCCTGGGATGGAGATCCCAGAGGGAGGGGTGAGCCGCCATCTTTGCTGTTTGGGTGATTTCGCCATTCCAGCCTTTGGGCTTCAGAGTGTCTGAGGTGACTGGGGGCTGAAATGGATCCCCAGCACAGCACAGTCACTCTACCAAAATGTGGCCAGAGTGCTTTTTTAAGTGGGGCCCCAATCCCATTCTGCCTTACTGGGTGGGAACCTCCCAACTGATGTCTCCTACAGGTGTCTTTGGGTCAGCAACAGGCTCATGCCTCTCTAGAACAGGCCTACCAGAGGGAGGGACAGGCTGCTATTTTTGCTGTTTCATAGCCTTCACTGGTGATACCTACATGTACTGGAAAATCCAAGGTGAGTAGGAACTGGCATGGGCCCCAAGCATACCACAGCAGCCCTGTGGAAAAGAATCCAGACTGCTACATGGGTGCCAATGCCCATATCTCCTCGCAGGCAGGTCCTTCAGACCTGGGCCTCCAGCCACACAACATCAGAGCTATTGCACCAGTAGCAACTTGGCAACTCCCTGGACAGAGCCTCCAGGTCAACTGAAAGCCTCTTTGCCACTGCCTCTGCAGTGGAACTGCCTTTGCCACCCTCGGACTAATGAAAGAGCAAAGACACTAAGTGCCTTATCCATACCTCCAACATCCCTCCCACATCCCCCCTAAAACTGCTTGTCACAAGAAAGGGAACCCCTGGCTTAGGCCCACAGCACAAACCCTCCATTGTGGGCTGATTACACTGAGTGATTGCTGACTGACCTGCATCTCTCTGGGGTGAAGCCTCCAGAAGATAAGCAAATGACCCTCAAAAACAGCCACTACTGAGTTCTTTTCCTCTGCTGCCTTCAAGTTGGGGAACAAACATAAAGACTAAAATCACCCCAGAGTTGCTGGGAGCAGCCTAGGAGTGCCACGTCACAGTCTACAACCAGCACTCATGGGGGAGAGGAGCCCACACTTTCAGAGCACAAGGAGGGAACATAGCTGCAACTGTGAGGAAATATAGGGGAGCCACACACCGAGCAAGAGTCTACATACTGACCAATAAGCTTGCCACCTGCTGGATCACACCCCAAAGCTTCAACACCAAAAATGCCTCACTAACATACCCCCTTCTGAAACCAGAGACAAGAAGGCAGCATCAAATAAAGACCCTGCGAAAAAGACTCAGCCCAGTGAAAACATCCAGAAAAGAAGTCTATTGACTATACTCAATCTATACTGCAGTTAAAGAAACACCCATACTCAGAAATTAGAAAAAAACAGTGCAAGAAATCTGGCAACTCAAATGGCCAGAGTATTATATGTCCTCCAAATGACCACACCAGTTCTCCAACAAGAGTTCTTAATAAGGCTGAACTGGCTGGAATGACAGAAATAGAATTCAGAATATGGATAGGAACAAAGATCATTGAGATTTAGGAGGATGGCAATACCCAATCCAAGGAAAATAAGAATAACAATAAAGTGATACAGGAGCTGAGGGATAAAATAACCAATATAAAAAAGAACCTAGTGGGTCTGACAGAGCTGAATAACAAAATACAGGAATTTCACAATGCAATCACAAGTATTATTAAATAACAGCAAAATAAACCAAGCTGAGGAAAGAATCTCAGAACTTGAAGACTGGCCCTCTGAAATAAGATGGTCAGACAAAATGAAAATAAAAAGAATAAAAAGGAATGAACAAAATCTCTGAAAAGTATGGGATTATGTAAAGAGGCCAAATCTATACATCATTGGCATCCCTGAAAGGGGGAGGGAGAAAGTAAACAACTTGGAAAACATATTTCAGGATATCTCCCATGAAAACTTCCCCAACCTTGCTAGAGAGGCCAACAGTCAAATTCAGGAAGTACAGAGAATTCCTGCAAGATTCTCCACAAGAAGATCATCCTCAAGTCACATAATTGTCAAGTTTTCCAAGGTCAAGGTGAAGGAAAGAATGTTAAAGGCAGCTAGATAGAAAGCTCAGGTCACCTACAAATGAAAACTCATTAGGCTAATAGAGCACTTCTCAGCTGAAATCTTACAAGCCAGAAGAAATTTGAGGCCTATATTCAACATTCTTAAAGAAAGAAATCTTCAACTAAGAATTTCATATCCAGGCAAACTAAACTTCCTAAGTGACGGAGAAATAGAATCTTTTTATATAAGCAAATGTTGAGGAAATTCATTATCACTAGACCTGCCTTACAGGAGATCTTGAAAAGAGCACTAAATAAAAAAAGGAAAGATTGGAAACAGCTAACACAAAAACACACTTAAATGTGCAGACTAGTGTCATGGTAAAGCAACTACACAAACCAACAGAATAGCCAGCTAACAGCACAATGACAAGATCAAATCCACCCATATCAATAAAACCATTAATGTAAACAAGATAAATGCCTCACTTAAAAGACAGAGTGGCAAGCTGGATAAAAAAGCAAGACTCAATGGTATGCTGTCTTCAAGAGACTCATCTCACACATAATGACACTCATAGGCTCAAAATAAAAGGATGGAGAAAAATCTATCAAGCAAATAGAAAACAGAAAAAAGTAGGGGTTGCAATCCTAATTTTAGACAAAACAGGTTTTAAATGAACGAAGATCAAAAAAGAAAAAGAAGGGCGTTAAATAATAGTAAAGCATTCAATTCAACAAGAAGACCTAACTATCCTAAATATATACGCACCCAGTATAGGAGAACCTAAATTTAGAAATCAAGTTCTTAGAGACCTACAAAGAGTCGTAGACTACCACACAAAAATAGTGGGGGACTTCAACACTCCACTGAGAATATCAGACACACCATCAAGGCAGAAAATTAACAAAGGTATTCAGGACCTAAACTCAACATTGAGCCAAATGGATCTGAGAGACCTTTACAAAACTCTTTACCCAAAAACAAAAGAATATACATTCTTCTTTTCACTGCATGTCATGTATTCATTCTAAAGTTGACCATATCATTGGACATAAAACAATCCTCCACAAATGTGAAAGAATGAAAATCATACCAAATACACCTTAGGACCACAGTGCAATAAAAACAGAATTCAAGACAATGAAAACAGCTCAAAACCATGGAATTACATGGAAATTAAACAGTATGTTCCTGAATGACTTTTAGGTAAATAATGAAATTAAGGCAGAAATCAAGAAGTTCTTTGAAAATAGTAAGAACAAAGATAAAACACACCAGAAACCCTGGGACACAGCTAAGGAAATGTTAAGCAGGAAATTTATAGCACTAAATGCCCACATAAGAAAAGTTAGAGAGATCTCAAATTAGCAACCCAACTTCACAACTGAAAGAATTAGAGAAGCAAGAACAAATTAACTCCAAAGCTAGTAGAAGATGAGAAATAACAATAATCAGAGCTTAACTGAAGAAAATTAAGACTCAAAAAACCATGCAAATAATCAACAAATCCAGGAGTTTGTATTTTGAAAAAATTAATAAAATGCACAGGCCACTAGCTAGACTAATAAAGAGGAAAAGAGAGATGATTCAAATAAACACAATTAGAAATGACAAAGGGACTGTAACTACTGAACCCACAGAAATAAAAACAACCATTAAAAACTATTACAAACACCTCTACACACACAAACTAGAAAACCTAGAAGAAATTGATAGATTCCTGGACACATAAACCCACCCAAGACTAAACAAGAAAGAAGTTGAATCCCTGAATAGACCAATAACGAGTTCTGAAATTGAAGCAGTAATTAATAGCCTACCAACCAAAAAAAGCCCAGGACCAGATGGATTCACAGCCGAATTCTATCAGAGGTACAAAGAGGAGCTCATACCATTTCTTCTGAAACTATTCTAAACAATAGAAAAAGAGAGACTCCTCCCTAACTCATTCTATGAGGCCATCATCATTTTGATACCAAAACCTAGCAGAGACACAACAAAACAAGAAAACTTCAGGCCAGTATCATTGATGAATATCAGTGCAAAAATCCTCAGTAAAATACTGGCAAACCAAACCCATCAGCACATCAAAAATCTTATCCACCACAATCAAATTAGCTTCAACCCTGGGATGCAAGTTTGGTTCGACATATGCAAATCAATAAATGTAATTCATCACATAAACAGTACTAAATACATAACCACTTGATTATCTCAGTAGACTCAGAAGAGGCCCTCAATAAAATCCAATATCCCTTCATGTTAAAAACTCTCAATAACTAGGTATTGAAAGAACATAACTCAAAATAATAAGCATCATATATTACAAACCCAAAGCCTATATCATATTGAATGGTCAAAAGCTGCAAGCATTCCCCTTGAAAATCAGTCTAAGACAAGGATGCCCTCTCTCACCACTCCTATTTAACATAGTGTTGGAAGTTCTGGACACAGCAATCAGGCAAGAGAAGGAAATAAAGTGTATTCAAACAGGAAGAGAGGAAGTCAAACTATCTTTGATTCTATATCTAGAAAACCCTGTTGTCTCAGCCCAAAAGCTTATTAAGCTGGTAAGTAACTTCAGCAAAGTGTCAGGATACAAAATCAATGTGCAAAAATTACTAGCATTCCTATACAGCAACAACAGGCAAGCTGAGAGCCCAATCATAAATGATCTCCCATTCACAATTGCCACAAAAAGCATAAAATACCTAGGAATACAGCTAACAAGGGAAGTGAAGGACTTCTTCAAGGAGAACTACAGTGACTGCTCAAACAAATCAGAGAGGACACAAACAAATGAAGAAACTTCCATTCTCATGGATAAGAAGAATCAATATTGTTGAAAATGGCCATACTGCCCAAAGTATTTTATGATTTCAATGCTATTCTCATTAAATTACCATTGGCATTCTTTACAAAATTACAAAAGGTATTTAAAATTTCTTATGGAGCCAAAAAGCCTGAATAGCCAAGACAATCCTAAGCAAAAAGAACAAAGCTGGAGGCTTCACGCTACCCAACTTCAAACTATACTACAAGGCTACAGTAACCAAAACAGCATGGTGCTGGTACAAAAACTGACACATATGCCAATAGAACATAACAGAGAACTCAGAAATAAGACCACACACCTACAACCATCTGATCTTTGTCAAACTTGACAAAACAAGCAATGGGAAAAGGACCTCCCTATTTAATAAATGGTGCTGAGAGTGCTGGCTAGCCATATGCAGAAAATTGAAACTGGACTCATTCCTTATACTACATACAAAAGTTACCCCAAGATGGATTAAAGACTTAAATGTAAAACCCAAAACTATAAAAATGCTAGAGGAATATCTAGGCAATACCATTCAGGACATAGGCACAGGCAAAGGTTTTATGATGAAAATGCCAAAAGCAATTGCAGCTATAACAAAACTTGACAAATGTGATCTAATTAAACTAAAGTGCTTCTACACAGCAAAAGAAGCTATCATCAGAGCAAAAGAGATAACCTACGAAGTGGAATAAAGTTTTTTCAACCTCTCCATCTGACAAAGATCTAATATCCAGAGTCTACAAGGAACTTAAATATATTTACAAGAAAAAAACAAACAGCCCTATTAAAAAGTGGGCAAAGGACATGAACGAACACTTCTCAAAAGAAGACATACGTGTGGCCAGCAAACATGAAAAAAAGCTCAATATCCCTGATGATTCAAGAACTGCAAATCAAAACCACAATGAGATACCATCTCATGCCAGCCAGAATGATTTTTTATTAAAAAGTCAAAACACAGCATATCCTGGTGAGGTTGCAGAGAAAAAGGAACACCTGTACACTTTTGGTGGAATCATAAATTAGTTCGAACATTGTGGAAGATGGTGTGGCAATTCCTCAAAGACCTAGAGGCAGAAATACCATTTCACAAAGCAATACCATTGCTGGCTATAACCCAAAGAAAAATAAATCATCCTGTTATAAAGACACATGCACACATATGATCATTGCTGCACTACTCACAATAGCAAAGACATAGAATTAGCCTAAATGTCCATCAATAACAGAATGGATAAAGAAAACGTGGTAAAGATATACCATGGAATACTATGCTGCCATAAAAATGAATGAGATAATGTATTTTGCAGGTACGTGAATGGAGTTGGAAGCCATTATGCTCAGCAAAGTAATGCAGAAACAGAAAACCAAACACCATGTGTCCTCACTTATAAATGGGAGCTGAATGATGAGAACACATGGACATGTGAGGAGGAACAACACACAATGGGGCCTGTCAGTTGGGGGGCAGTGGGAGAAGGGAGAGCATCAGGAAGAATAGCTAATGAATGCTGGCTAGGCTTAATATGTAGGTGATGGGATGATCTGTGCAGGAAACCACCATGGCACACACTTACCATTGTAACAAACCTGCACATCCTACACATGTACCCCTGAACTTAAGAGAAAAGTTGAATAGAAAAATAAAAGAAAGCTACTTTAATTATAAAAAGAAAGAAAGAAAGAAAGAATAAACACTGGCACAGACAAGGATGCTCTCTCACCACTTCTATTCAACATAGTATTGGAAGTCCTAGCCAGAGCAATCAGGTAAGAAAAAGAAATAAAGGGCATCCATTTAGGAAGAGAGGAAGTAAAACTATCTCTATTTGCAGATAACATGATTCTACATCTAGAAAAACCCATTGTCTTAGCCCCAAAGCTCCTCCAGCTGATAAACAACTTCAGCAAACTTCAGCAAAGTTGAGGATACAAAATCAACATACAAAAATCACTAGCATTTATATACACCAATAACAGCCATACCTAGGAATACAGCTAACCAGGGAGGTGAAAGATCTTTACAATGATAACTACAAAACATTACTTAAAGAAATCAGAGAAGACACAAACAAATGGAAAAACATCCCATAGTCATGGATAGGAAGAAATAATATCATTAAAATAGCTATACTGTCCAAAGCAATTTACAGATTCAATGTGATGCCTATCAAACTACCAAGGACATTTTTCACAGAACTATCAAAAAATATTTTAAAATTTGTATGGAGCCAAAAAAGAGCCTGAATAGCCAAGGCAATCCTAAGCAAAAAGAACAAAGCTGAAGGCATCATGTTACCTGACTTACAGCTTTACTACAAGGCTACAGTAACCAACACAGCATGGTGCTAGTATATAAACAGGCACATAGACCAATGAAACAGAATGGAGAGCCCAGGAATAAGGCTGCACATCTACAAGTATCTGATCTTCAACAAAGCTGACAACAATACAAGCAATGAGAACAGACTCTCTGTTTAATGAATGGTGCTGGGAGAACTGGCTAGCCATACACAGAAGATTGAAGCTGGACCCCTTCCTTACACCGTATACAAAAATCAACTCAACATGGATTAAAGACTTAAGTGTAAAACCCAAAACTATAAAAACCCTGAAAGACAACCTGGGCAACATTATCCTGGACATAGGAACAGGCAAAGATTTCATGACAAAGATGCAAAAAGCAATTGCAACAAAAGCAAAAATTAACAAGTGGGATCTAATTAAACTTAAGAGTTTCTGCACAGCAAAAGACACTATCAACAAAGTAAACAGACAGTCTACAGAATGGGAGAAAATATTTGCAAACTACCCATCTGACATAGGTCTAATATCCAGCATCTATAAGGAACTTAAATTCACAAGAGAAAAACAACCCCATTAGAAAGTGGGCAAAGAACATGAACAGCCACTTCTCAAAAGAAGACATACATGTGGCCAGCAAGCATATAATAAGCTCAATATCACTGGCCATTAGAAAAATCCAAATCAAAAAGCCAGTGAGATACCATCTTATGCCAGTCTGAATGGCTATTACTAGAAAGTCCAAAAACAACAGATGCTGGTGGAGTGGTGGAGCAAAAGGAACACTTATACACTGTTGATGGAAGTGTAAGTTAGTTCAACCATTGTGGAAAGCACTACCATTCGACCTAGCAATCCCATTACTGGGTATATACCCAGAGGAATATAAATCATTCTACCATAAAGGCCTGCATGCCAATGTTCATTGCAGCACTATTTACAATAGCAAAAACATGGAATCTACCTAAATGCCCATCGATGACTGACTGGATGAAGAAAATGTGGTACATATACACCACGAAATACTATGCAGCCATAAAAAGAATAAGATCATATCTTTTGCCGGAACACAGATGGAGCTAGAATGTATCATTCTTAGCAAACTAATGCCGGAACAGAAAACCAAATACCATATGTTCTCACCTATAAATTGGAGCTAAATGATAAGAACTTATGAACACAAAGAAAGAAACAACAGACACTAGGGTCTACTTGAGGTGGTAGGGCGGGAGGAGGGAGAGGAGCAGAAAAGACGTTTATTGGGCACCGGGCTTAATACCTGGGTGAAGAAATAATATGTACAAAAAAACCCATGACACGTGTTTACCTGTGTAACATACCTTCACATGTACCCCCAAACCTAAAATAAAAGTTTTTTGAAAAACTTTAAAAACAAACAAAAAATACCACCTTGTACACTGTAAATATATATAATTTTAGTTGTCAATTGTATCTTAATAAAACTGAAAAAAATGCAAGGGATACCATACACCATGACTCTTCAAGACTATGTAAAGATTCACTCCTCTGAGCTCTCCTAATATCCAAACTGTCATCTGTCATTAAATTTACTATTTACCTTATTGCTTTGTCTGCCACGGTAACATAAATATCTTCACAGGGAATGTGTGATATGAATGTTGTACTCCAAAACCTAGTACAAAGTTTGGTACATAGTAGGCACAAGAAAATGTTGGTTGAAATAATGCACAATTCTTTGTAAAATTTGTTTTCAGTGCTCACATTTGACTAACTTTGCACACTGCCTTTCTAATATAACAAGTGTTATTCCCAAACAGGAACCCAATGATTCCAGAGACAAATCACCTAATATGAATAGCAGCAAATATAAAGCACTTGTCAGTAAATCCCATAGTCCCATCCTGGTTGTTTTTCTTTCAGAAATGATTTTCTGACACAAAATAATCAACACCTAGTTTGCAGCTTCTTGCAGTCTAGAAGCAAATGATTCATGCTTCTTGTTATTGTATTAGTGCATGGGAAAAGCAATAAAAAATCCAAGAAGCCATAATATATTCACAACATCATAACTTTCTCTCATTACCCAGAAGTAAATGGATCATTGCTCCTGATATGTATTGATTCACACTGACAGCATTGGAATTTACATTCACTGTCACTCATAGTCCTTAGGTCAAATAACTGTCATAATCACCTTAGTGCATTTACCTATGGAACCACACTAGACTTTGTGCAAATGCTGAACACTTTGCATCATGGTGATCGTACACTTGCTTGGTCCAAGGTGTTGAGGATGGAAAGAGTCAAGACTCTTGTCTAAAGCTAGCAATTTTCCACACACTGTGCTAAGCATATTGCAATCACTATGTCATTTAATCTTCATTGAAAAAACCTGTGAAAAAATTGGTATTATTGCCATCATTTTATAGATAAGAAACACAGGCTCTGCATGGTTGATTCTAAACACCACTGCTATGAGGCATTAGATAGAAATGTCCTTCAGCACCTGCCTGGGTCTCGCACTCAGCTGCCCCTGCTGGTGCCTTGGAGGCCATTCCTAACCCTCTGCCACCTGCTAATCCCTCTGCAGAGCTCCCCAGTGTCGCTGCTATGCTACTAGAGATGCTACACATGCATAAATATAAAACCACCTCCTGACTTAAGGCATTACTCCTGAGGTAGGGGCCACAGAAGGAGCTAAAACTTAGCCTTCTCTCCCTTTTCTGTGGAAGATACTGAAATTATGATTATTATTATTTGAATGTATTATTATCTGAAATAAATAATACAAATTATTTATTATTGAATAATAAAACAAATTATTCTCTGACTTTTTCAGCCATTTTTATTCCTCATTTCTTTTCCAGTCTTGCTTCCAAGATTTGTCTGCACTCAGTATCCCCACATCTGCAACCCACATTCATCTTGAAAATCGCAGAAGACTGCTTCTGCCACACCCTGTCCTGACTCTGCTCTTCAGGTCTCCAATCATCATGTTGTAGCTAAATAAAAAAGGACTTCTTCTAGGTCCTTATTTTTCTTGCATCCTGTGCAGCGTTGGCACTACTAACCCCTTTTTTTCAATTGAAGCACTGTCTTCCCCTGGCTCCTCATCCATTCTCAGGCTGCTGCCAATGTGTTTTTTGGTCTTGCCATTTGCCATGGGAACTGTACAGTTTAGCATTTTGAACATGATGTGCTATTATGTCCTGCCCATCCTCCAGCCTCTTCTCCCAAGTCTCTGTGAGGCTGACTGTCTTCCTACTCTTCAGCCTCTGGACATTCATTTTCCCTGGAACATTTATTTAGTCTGCCTTTACCCAATTCTCTCACTCATCTCTGAATGTTCTTCTCAGCTGTTACATGCCTGGCATTTCCTCTCTTCTCTGTAATTGCTCAACAGCGAGTTATCTTCCCCAAGGAACCTTTTCCTAGTAACTGATGAGAGGTGAATTTTTATGATGCCTTCAGTATTTGCCATTTATGAATCTTCTCTACTTAACTTATCTACTTAGTATATGTTCACTCTTTGGCTTATACTGGTTATTATCCTAATATTATGTCGTGTGTACCTGTGTTATGTGCTGTCTGGGTTAGGCCATGTACATAGTGGCTTTCAGAATTTGGTGTGGCTTAAGGATTTAGTAAAGATGTGTCAGTTAGAAATTAGAGGTATTTTATGATAATAATGGTAGTGATTTATTGTGAGTAACAAGTATTCTACTCAGTTGACAAGAAGGCTGTTTATATAAAATTCTCATATGAATATGAGCCCAATTTTTGAGGCATGGTCATGGTAAAAATAAAGATGCTTTTACTTAAAGTGGAACAGGGACATTGATATAATTTTACAACTTCCTTTCCTAATTCAGTAGCAGGAGTTCCATGATGAAAATAGCAGAGTGGGCCCATAGTTGCTAGCCTTAGAAGCACTCATGAAGAAAATTTTACATTTCTTACTTCTTAATGTGCTCTCTCACTCTCTCTCTCTCTAGTTCTTTTTGAGTTTTAAATTTTACTTTATTTATTTCCTTTTAAAAATTTTTTTATTTTATTATTATTATACTTTAAGTTTTAGGGTACATGTGCACAATGTGCAGGTTAGTTACATGTGTATACATGTGCCATGCTGGTGTGCTGCACCCATTAACTCGTCATTTAGCATTAGGTATATCTCCTAAAGTTTTTAAGTGATGGCCAGGCACAGTGGCTATAATCCCAGCACTTTGGGAGGCTAAGGCAGGCAGATCACTTGAGGTCAGGTGTTCGAGACCAGCCTGGCCAATATGGTGAAACCCAGTCTCTACTAAAAATATAAAAAATTAGCTGGGTGTGGTGGTGCATGCCTGTAGTTCCAGCTACTAGAGAGGCTCAGGTGGGAGAATCACTTGAACTTGGGAGGCGGAGGTTACAGCGAGCCAAGATCATTCCACCGCACTCCAGCCTGGGCTCAAATAATAATAATAATAATAGTAGTAGTAATAACATATAATTTTAAGTGATACTACTTTTTCCTTTGTTATAGTCCAGTAGCTCAGAATTTTAAAAAATACAAAAGAGAGCACAGTGAAAAGTCTCCCTCCCCCTCCAGCCCAAAGCCACTGTCACTTACTCCCCCTCTTCAGAGACAACCAATCTTCCTAATTTCTAGGTGTCTTCCTAGATATTTTATGCACATGCAAATGATTGAACTCTCTAAGGTCTTTACAGAAGCCAGGATCTCTTTGGAAGCCACTAATCAATTTTCTCTTTATATATTTATGTGTTCTTTGTTCTTCTTAACCTCTCCCTCCCACTACTGCCAGAGGCACACATGGAGTCATACTGCAGCTCTTCAGGAACTCCTATGAGGCTCTGCCTCTTAAACATCTCTTCTACACCTACTTGCTCAGCTTTGGTGACTTCAATTTTCCTTCTTCTGAGACTAACCCCTTTGGAGTATTCTTTCTTTGGATTTGGGGGTTGGCTCTTGATTTTGCCCTTGGTCCCTAGTTGCCTTTTGCATCTCTCTTGGCTCCAGGCTCTGTAGATAACAGGCAGCCCTGACCCTCCTCCATGCCCAGCTCTGATCCTGAATCTCCTTTCTGCATCCAGCACCCTACATAATCACTTCACCAAGAAAAGACTTCAGGCCTTAAATGCTGTTATGAACTGAATCATGTCCTCTCCATATTGCATATGTTAAAGCTCTAATTTCTGGTATGATGATATTTGAAGATAGGACCTTTGAGAGAAAATTTGGGTTAGATTAGGTCATGCGGGGTGAAGCTCTCATGATAAAATTAGTGGCTTTATTAGAAGAAGAAGGAAAAGAAATCTCCTTTTAAGAGATCACATGCTGAGGAAAGATCATATGAAGATATAGCAAGAGTGGCTTCTGCAAGCCAGGAGGAGAACCCTCACCAGGAACTGAAGCTGCTGGAACCTTGATCTTGGACTTCCAGCCCCAGAACTTTGAGAAGTAAATATATATTGTTGAGGCCACCAATCTATGGTATTTTGTTATGGCAGCCAAGCAGAACAAATGCCAAGGTCAGCTGGTCTTGAAAATACCATCAAGCATACCACCTTTCTTTCTTCCCTTTTGGAAAACATGGGCTTCCTTCTCCTCCCATCCCATGCCCTTGGATATCCTGTTTCCTTTTATTTTCTTACTTGTTTATGCCTAGTCATCATCAGAAATTTCAACCCAGCTGAGCTAATGAATTGATGCTCCTTTTGCATGTACAGAGCTAATGAGGCACAGGCAACAGGTAGAAACATGTTAGTTTCTTTCCTCTGTGCAAAGAAGCCTCTATATTCTTATCCAATTATTGACTAGCAAACCCCTGTTACCTCTATCAGAAACAGAAGCTTCCCTGGTCACATAAACAGTGTGACATGTCAGCAGCACTGAGCTATGTCTCAAGATTCTTTTCCTGCCAGCATGTAGGAGAAGATACCCCAAAGACCATGCTACTCCAAATAGCTGATGAAATGTGCAGTGCTGCACTAGCAGAAATCTGATTTTGTGAGGAATAAACTCTGGTTGTATGCTTTCAGGTTGAACTCTTTTGTGTCAACTAAAAGAACATATGAACATAGCAGGGCTGTCAAGATAAGGCCACAAGCTTGCCGAGTTGGGGACCTTTGAAATACAAGTAAGTTGGTGATAGTAAATCAGTGCTTTCCAGGCAAATAATAATTTTAAGTAAGTAGTAGGAAAGTGAAACTGCTTATGTCTTCCATGCAGTGAATTAAGCTGACTACTGTTAAAATACTCTTGTAATACAGTCATACATTATTGGCTATTTCTCACTATAAAAATGATAATTCATTTTGATATATCATTATTAAAATGCGTCTCTTTTGTTTTTCTGTTTGTTACAATGGATGCATGGTTGCTTTGAATTTTCCAGTTCTTACTGCCATAGAACATGAAGATGCCTGGGAATTACAATATCCAACCATTTAATTATGTGATGTCATAAGAAAATGGCTTTATTTTTATTTGTAGGACTGTGGAATCAGTACCTTGTATTTATGGGTTTTTAAATCTAAAGGCTTATTAGAAAGCTAACAATGGACCAGTTAACTTACTCATTATCAGTTGCACATGATAGCTATACTGAGTGACTTTGAAGAAAGCTTGTGTTTTCAACAGAATACATTCTACTGTAAAAATTCTGTCTGTAAATGACACTTGCCAAGATAATTGCTAATTGTAACTCATCAAAATATGTGTCTGGTTCAAGAGCAACATGTTTATTACTCCGTATATATTTATTATTTCTGTTGAAGCCATCCTAGAGGGGCCCTCAACATTATTGCTTCTGCGTACAATAGAACTTGACATGTAAAATTAATCCCTTAAAGATATATATAAATGAATAACTAAAGCTGCATATAGGTGGATTGGGACTGGTGATTGAAATGTATCTGTTATAATTTAGTTAAGATTTAGTCACTATCTTAAGGATAACATGTTTGGCCGTGAGTAAAACAAGGTAGTGTGAAATAAAACAGTAGGTCAGACTTGTTTCCTCCTTTCTTTCTACCCATTCTCACATTTGTCTCATCTTATATTTAACTAATTTTCCAGAACAAATATAAAGGGTATGAATGACTCTAACTCTGAAGAGAGAGAAAAGCCAGAGCAATGATTACACCTGCCCTTCTCACTTTTAGCTCTTAGCACATTTATCTTGTATTGGACACATTTTCAAAAACTTATATGTTGGGCTCATGCCTGTAATCCCAGCACTTTGGAAGGCCAAGGTGGACAGAATTGCTTTAGCTCAAGAATTTGAAACTAGCTTGGGCAGCATGGTGAAATCCCATCTCTATAAAAAAATTTTGAAAATTAGCTGAGCATGGTGGTATGCACCTATAGTCACAGCTACTGGGGAGACTGAGGTGGGAGGATCGCTTGAGCCTGAGAGGTCGAGGCTGCAGTGAGCCATGATCACACCACTGCACTGCAGCCTGAGTGATGTGAGTGAGACCCTGTCTCAAAAAAATTTTAAAAAGCACATGTTCACCATTATCAAAGTAAAATTAAAGGTCAAAGTTAGGTACTTATTTGTTTACCTAGTACCCACTAATAAAAACCAATAATAAAAGTGTAAACTAAATTGGGCCATGAACCATCAGATCCTTTTGGACTTCATTGGGGAAAACACCAGGATCAGATCCAGTGATAGTTTAGGTGTGAATGTAGCTAACTCCTCCAAATTTGAAAATTAAGGTAGTAAGATTCTTTTTACTGGTTAGTATCAAAATTAATTGCTATAAAATGTTCAGCCATGATCAAGGTTTGTATAACAGTAAAATATACAAATATTTTGGTGATTCTATCAACTTCCTGACACATATAATCAAATATTGTCTATGTTATATTATTGCCTGAAAAAGTGTAAACAAAGGTCTGCTTCCTAAGAGTTTGGTCATAGTTACTTTAAATCATGAGCTGGATATTAGTGAGACATAATAATCTTAATCAGCAAATATCTACTGGGTACCTTCAATGTGCAAGTCACTCTAGTAGACATTAGAGGGGAAAGGCACATGAAGCACCACTTGCACTAAAAGGTTTGATATCCAGATGGAGATATCACATGTGATGTGCCCATTGCTTCTGATAACTCACAATATCCTCAAAGTAGAGATCAACCAAAAACAGAAAAAACTATTTGCTGAATCATTCTGAGAGCCCAATTGAGGTGGAAAACCTGAAAGTGATACAATGGCATTCTATTTTGTAATTTTATTCAAAATTACTTAGCAGTCCAAGTATCACTGTATAGAAAGATTAGGAAAAAAGGGAAAGGTCAAAGGACCAGATATGTAGGAATATACACATATATTTTTTCCAATGGGTATGTGTACATATATACAGACATAGATATACATATATATACACACATATACATATCATAGTGAAAGTAAAGGAATAACAGACCTATAGATTAAATAAAGTATCTTAATTTCTTCATTTATCCATAAAAAAAGAAAAATGAATTTGCTACATAACTAGCCAGATTTTATAAAGATATCTTTATTACTAACTTTTTAAAATTTCTATAGGTATAAAAACATAATAATCCCCTACTAAAGAACCAGGTAATTTTGGAAAGAATGTGGAAATAAGGGTTTTTCTCCTTTCCTCTCTCATTTGCCTGATGCAAGATTTAAGCCAGGTTTCTCAGAGTGGTCCATTTTCTTATCTGTGAGATGGGAAAAAGTGGACCTTTGCTTCCTCATTCAGAGCAATTTCCGAGAATATTTGACGTAACTATTTGAAAACATCTTGTAACTTATGTAAATGTAAGACATTTCTCTTTCTGCTGTAATTTTCCATGCAGCAGAAATCTCTTTGTGTTTACTCATTTACAAAAATAATTCAATAATTATCTTAACACAGGTTTAAAATGCATATAAATTCTACTCGTAGGTATCCAGGAGAAATTAAAACATATCCACGCACACACACAAAAAATTGTACACAAATTACCATAGCAGCGTTGTTTATAATAGCCAAACAGTAGAAACAACTCTAATTTCCGTCTGAGGAACAAACAAAAGGTGTTATATCCATATAGTAGATTGTTATTCATTTATAACAAAGAATGAAGCACAACATGGATTAACCTTGAAAACAATATATATTAAGATAAATAATTCAGTCAAAAAGACCCTATATTGTATGATTTCATTTATATAAAATGTCTACTAGAATAGACAAATCCTTAGAGACAGAAATTAGGTTAGTGATTGCATAGGATTGGGGTGCAATGGAGGAGAATGGAGAATGACTGCTAATAGGTATGGAGTTTCTTTTTGGGGTGATGAAATTAGGGGTGATAGTTACATGAGTCTGTTAAAAATACTAAAATCCATTTAATTGCACACTGTAAATGGGTGAATTTTATGGTATGTGAATTATTTCTCTTAATAAAAATGTACAAATCACCACTTCAAAAATATTATAAAAATAGTGCTAATTATTTATTAGCCTGAAGGATAATACATCCAGCAATGTATCAAAAAGTACTTTACCTGAGCAGATTTAGCTGTTACATTTGCATTTGAATTTCAAAACCCATTATCTTAAATGCAGAGAGAAGCCAGAGAACTCAGATAGGTTTGCTCTATCATTAGGCAATATTGGAAAGAACCATTCCTGCACTATTGAGTCTATATTTTCTTACTCTTTCTCAATAATTTTAAGAATTAATTACTTTGGTTTCCAGTCTCTAAGTAGCCTTTAAAGGCTCACATTTCTCAGGTTTTCATGCTCCCAAAGGTTGATTTTGATAGGGTCTTTGTTACTGTGGATGCTTTGTTATAAAGATCAAAGCAGTTTAAACCATGTTAATAGGATCAATCTAAAATGTGGACTAAGATGTTAATATTAACAGAGCAAGTCCTAGTGAATGGGATAACTATAATAATAGTAGTACTAAAGCATGCCAGGCACTTATTATTTTATGTCCATTTAAAAAATAAGAACAAAGAGACCTAGGCAAAGAGAGGATGCCTGCTTTGCCCAAAGACCAAATTGGGTTTCAAGTTCAGGCCCTCAAAATCTGAGCTTTTAGTCATTACACTAAACAAGTAAGAAAGAGTTCCTTCCTCAAAATAACTCCTTTGTAGATGGGGATAGATAATGTTCCCATCTAGTAGAAGAAAGGAGAAAAATTCAATGAAGAGCCATATTAGGTGTTGAAATAACCAACATTTTTAAATCATTTTTACAATTTTTGAGGGACTTTCAATTATGACCTCACTTGATTTTTTGACATCTGTTCTGCACATTCCAAAAGCACTTAAGGCTTATTCACTGCCACAAAATAGCTTACCTCTGTAATACTAAGTAACATGATCAGCATCTTCATCTTAACAGCATTCTCCTTGGGAACATAAACACAACACTACTGAAAGTAACACAAGTGAATTTTACTCCAGCTTACATTTTAGTTCTTAGATCTCTGAGCTCTCCACTTATATTCTGTTATCTACTGCTTTTCTCTGTGACCTACAGTGTGGATTTGAAGATGACTGGCCAATGCATTGGGAATGAGACATGTCAGAGTCAAGTAAATAAAATAACAGAAGAGAACAAAAGTAGGAAGACAATATGCCCAGTAAGTTAAAAAGTCAAAGATTTTGCAATGAGCATAAACAGAGCCCTCAGGGGATGTGGCTTAGCAAAGAGAAAACAAATAACAAGGCACAGTCCATGGGAGACTGGACCAACATCTAGACATGACACTGTGGACACAGAATGTAGACTTCTGACTGGATTTAGAATTACCAATTGCGTGATCATTAAATTTATGAGTCAATTTTGCTGGGCTAGGATACCCTGTTGTTTAGTCAAACACTAGTCTAGATGTTGCTGGGGAAAATATTTTTAGATGTGATTTGCATTTAAGTCAGTAGACCTGGAGTAAAGCAGATTACTCTTTATAATGTGGATGGATCCTATCCAATCAGTTGAAGGCCTTAAAAGCAAAGACTGAAATTTCCCAGAAAAAAAAAAAATCTCCTCAAGATTGAACATAGAAACTTTGCCTGAGTTTCCAGCCTACAACCCTGAAGAATTAGACTCAAGGCCTCAACATCAACTCTTTACTAAATTTCCAGGCTGTCAATCTGCCTATGGATTTTAGACTTGCCAGCCCCCATAATCACAGAAGCCAATTTCTTAAAGCAATCTGAGTGTGTCTCTGTCTCATTATTTCTCTCAATATAGAGATGGATATAGACATATAAATGTATCCTATTGGTTTCATTTCTCTGGAAAACCTTAATTAATACAATTTATCAACCTCATAATTTCATGTATGTTATTTAACTTTCCTGAGACTTACTTTCCCCATTTTACAATAGGCAAATAATACTTAATTTACATAGGATGGCGACAAGCACCCTACTTGTGCCTAGCACAAGTAATAATCAATAAATAATAGCTGTTATTACTTTTTTATTGTGTTTATTTAAGGTATATAGCATGATGTTATGGGATACCAATATGGTGCATGATATTCTCTGGCAATTCTGGGCACTGGCAATGAACTTCAGCCCCCAGTCAGGCACATAATCATGAGTAGCAGTACACTGATACTCTACAATATACTGTGTTACCAGGTTAGTATTTTTGGCATTGTGCTTTGTGTTTTCACATCCCATCATGTCTACAAAATGCTTATCCGTGTCTAGGTTTATGTAAGTGTTCTGAGCACATTTAAGATGTGGCTAGGCTAAACTATGATGTTCTGTAGGATATGTGTACAAAATGCATTTTTGACTTATGACATTTTCAACTTAAAATAAGTTTATTGAAATGTAACCCCATTGTAAGTCAAGGATCATCTGTATAATCATCCCACTCTCTTTTGATTACCATTTTCATGGTTTCTTTTGATTACCATTTTCATCTTTCTACAACCTTCACTTTCAGCCTAGTTGTGTCCTAAAAGCTTAAGTGAGTCTCTTGTAGGCAGAATATGATTGAATCTTTTTCTTTATGCATTCAGCCACTATCTTGATTGGATAATTTAATCTAATTACATTCAAGTTTATTATTGATAGGTAAGGACTTACTACTGCCATTTTATTATTTCTTTTCTAGTTATTTTGTATCTCCTTTATTTCTTTCTTCCTCTTTTGTCTACCTTTGTGATTTGAAAATTTTCTGTAGTGCCAAGTTTTGATTCCTTTCTTTTTATCGTTTGTATATTGGCTGTAGTTTTTTGTTTTGTGGTTGCCATAAGACTTATATAAAACATCCTATAGTTACAATCAACAATTTTAAGTTGATTATTAACCTCTATTATATGCAAAACTGTAAACATTTTACACTTCCTTCACAATTTATGTTTTTGACGTCACAATTTACATTATTTTACATTGTGCATTCCTTCACAACTTATTGTAGCTTTAATTATGTATGACCATTTTAACTTTCAACCTTCATGCTAGAGATACGTATGATTTATACACAACCATTATAGTATTGGAGTACTCTGGATTTGACTATGGATTTAACTCTGCTAGTGAGTTTTACACTTTCATATGTGTTCATGAGAGTAATTACCATCCTTTCATTTCTACCTGAATAACTCCCTTAAGTATTTCTTGTAGGGCAGGTCTATTGGCATTAAATTCCTTTAGCTTTTGTTTGTCTGGGGAAGACTTTATTATCCATTTTAGACGGAAAACTTTGCTGATATAGTATTCT